>NC_000010.11:79537034-79688549 GCF_000001405.40 Homo sapiens | reverse complement strand
TTCATATATCCATACAGTCTGTCTACACAGTGAGGCAGGGTGCAAGCTCACCACCACTTGGGAGTCTCAAGATCCTCCCTCTATTGGGTGAGAAGCAAACATTTGGGGAAAATGTTGGAAACTGAGGCCGTCTCTACAGGAAACCACGTGGCCATGCTCTAGTGTTTTTGGGTCAGCGACCCTTACCAATTAAACGGCCACTCAGTACATTCATAACTATCTTCATTCTTTAAAAACTTACTAACAGAGAAACCAATGAACCCTACCACCTACTGTGACTTACTAGTTCAGTCAACATCAAAACGTGTCTGCTAATTTTTTAGTCCTTGGGATACAAGACAAAAAAAAACAAACAAGTAAAAACCAAAGAATTTAGACAGGGGGAAGGAAAGGGATTGCCAGTAGATTTCATGGAACACATTAAATTTTGAAAAAAATCAGTATTTTCTACTTCTCTTCCTTCGTGTAAAAAGTTTAAAATAAAAAAATGCCCACTGGAGCCACCTGTATGGATGGAGAAGTGAGGACATGATATAGACAGGGCACAGGACCTGCAGTCGTTTCCTGACGACAGTCCAGAGGGACAGGAATAGTTCCCAGGATGTGTCCATTTCTCTTCACAGAAAGGGACTGTAACATTTTGAGGCAAGAAGCCCTACACGTGAAAGGTGTTAAGAAAATCATCACTGAAATATGGTTTCCAAAAATTGAGCATGCTCTAGGTTACAAACAGACATATTTAATTCCTAGAACTTGTTGAACTTCTCTGACATGGGTAGATGGGAATTTCAAAAGAGTTATTAATAATTGTGGTTCTAAAGTTGCAGGGTCAACATTTCACCCTCTAGAAAGCAGGGCAATTCAGGGCTTAGAGTCTTCTTGTTTACATCATAGAAACCAGAACAAATTTCATGGGACCCCTCAGCCCCAACAACCAGCGGCCAGGTGGAGAGAAGGCCACAGCTGTCTTTGGGTAGGGAGCCTGTGTGTGCATGCTGTGTGCATGTGCTGGAGAGACTAAGGCATAGAGAAGGGCCCAAGCAATGAGGTAAAGTGAGTCTCCTGGCTGCGCTAGTCCCTTCTTTCCAGGCACAAAGAAGTTGAACTTGTTATTCATGTAGGCCCCCTTCCTCTCACCTCAGCTTTTAGTAAGCAGTGTGTGTGTGCACGAGTAGCTGTGTGTGACAGAGTAAGTCCCTGTGCCTTTCTAGATTTCAGCAATTCAGGTTTGCAGTTTCAACAGAAATAATCTGTAAATGACACGAGCAAATTTACAAGTTAGATTAGCAACTTTACATTGCTTAAAATCTGATATTATATTTTTAAAAATGCCTCTGGGTACAGGCAAAATTATGTCATATGGCCACTGGAACTGAAGTCCTTACCAGCTATGTGAAGAATATTCAGATTGTTTCTGTTATCTCTGCATTTTAAAGTAGCAAAATACTAAGCCATTAGGTTATTGAACCTGTAATATTCCCACAGGGGTTTTATGTCTACCCCATGGGATTCAATTAATTTTCCTGGACCCTGGTTAGACTGTTTCCTTTCCCTCTTAGGCATTTGGCCCCCAAAGTTAGGTAGGTAAAAGTGTCATTTTTAAAGATTTTACCTGTCAGGGAATTTCCTGGTTGGTGCTCCTGGAAAGCATGCAGCTGGCCGGCGGGAGTCTGACATTCTCAGTCAGTGGGGAGAGAAGACATGTGTCTCCCAAAGCCAAGAGGTAGCCAGGTGGAGGACAGCAGGACTTTCTAGGGGGTCCAAGGGGAAAGTTCTGAGTGGACCCTGGGAAGGGACATGGGTGCCCCATCTGAGATGACCTGTGTCCTTCCAATGCCTGGTATCCCCAAGAGGGGCCCAGACATGGACCGCCCTGGGGAACGAGGATGTGGTGCTGCCTGGAGGAGCTAACACTGAGGTTTGGGGAAGTCACCACACAGCTCCCAGAACCCAGAATCTCTGACAAGCAACCATGTGTGGAGAGGGAATGGGGACAGTGGAAGGACACAGCTCAAATGAAGACACTGCGGACATGTTTCCATGGCTTTCTACATTCTTCATCATCATCGAGTGTTCTCCTCTACACAGTGAGCACAACATTTTACCCACGTGCCTGATGGACAGGCCAAGCTGAATGGAAGCCTTCTGAGGCACTGGAGCAGAAGGGAAAACTTGCACATGGTCGCAAAGGACTTCACACTGTTCCATCCCCTCTACTGCCATCCAAGAGGCCTCTTGACTCTTCCAGAATCAGATGTAAAAGACAAGGTCAGTAAAATCAGTATCCATGTCACCTGAAGCTATGATTAGGCATTGTACACGAACATGGCACTTTTATTTACTTATTTATTTATTTATTATTTATTTTGAGACGGAGTTTTGCTCTTTTCGCCCAGGCTGGAGCGCAGTGGCGCTATGTTGGCTCACTGCAACCTCTGCCTTCCGAGTTCAAGTGATTCTCCTGTCGGCCTCCTGACTAGCTGGGATTACAGGCACCCACCACTACGCCTGGCTAATTTTTGCTTCTTTTTTTTTTAAGTAGAGATGGGGTTTCACCGTTGGCCAGGCTGGTCCTGAACTCCTGACCTCAGGTAATCCACCTGCCTTGGCCTCCCAAAGTGCTGGGATTACAGGCATGAGCCACCGTGCCTGGCCTGAAGATGGCACTTTTAAAAAGATTTTTTTCTAAGTAAAATGGCCCCCAAAGAGCCCAATGATTTTTTTAAGGGTTTATTTTTCATTTTAAAAAAACTGGATAAAAATGAAAGCTGTAAAATATGGGAAGAGGAGCAAGAGAGCTGCTGAGTTTGCATTTGAAATTGTGAGGGGCTGGGGAGGACACGACCAGGTAGAGAGGACCCCTACCCACTAGTCCCTGCTCTCACAGCTTGCGCTCCCCACACTCAGGCTGCACCACCAGGGAACACAGGACAGAAGTCTAGAGGACAAGAGACCAAACTCAAGTCTTCTTTCTTGTGGTTGGTTGGGTGTTTACATGTGCAAGTGTAGTAAGCCACACCCCACAGACATAAGGTGCCTGTCTGTGGATGCCATAGGCATGCTCCTAAGCTCAGTCTCTGGTGACCCCGAGTCTCTGGGCAGGCCACGGGCCTTCACTTCTCCACTTTCTTGGCTTTCTTGAGGATGTTGCATTTTTTCCTGTTAGGGCAGTGGCACTGCTCGTCGTTGCTGGGGATACATTCGCAGTGCCACACCTCCTCCACCTTCTCCACGGGGTAGACGGCTTCCACCTAGTGGCAGATGAGCCGCAGCTGCGTAGGGTCCAGCTGCTTCTTGTTGCAAGCCCGAAAATTGTTGTACTGCAGCTGGAGGTTCTCGGCGGTGGAGGAGCCCCGCGGCAAAGTTGCCCACGGAGAGGCTCTGCTGCACGATCTTGCACACCTCCTTGTCGGACAGCAGGTAGGGAGAGCGCACCGGGAAGCTCAGTGAGGGACCACCACCTCATCCAAGGGGATCTTGCAGAAGTCCTTGCTGCTCCTCTCGGGGGCAGCGGGGGACCCTCAGACTCCTCTCTGAACCTCTCAGGATTGATTGCATAGCTCCTCATGTCTTTACACTCGGGGCCAGCACGTGGACCTTGCACTGCTGCTGGTAGGAGCGCCTCTGTTCCTGTTCCAGTGCAGGTTGCCCATGAACTCAAGGGTCCAGACGCGATTGTTTTTGGTGCAGAGGTAGAGCAGGTGCACTTAGTGGCGAATGAGCTTGATGCAGGACGGGTCCAGCTGCTTCTTGCCCAGGGAGTCGCTGCAGCTGTGCTGCTTGTGCAGGTTGTCATGGGTGAAGAGCTTGGGGAATAGGGGCACCAGCAGGCGCGAGGTGAAGTTGCCGATGGACAGGCTGCTCTCGTAGATACTGTGAAGATGCTCGTTGCTGAGCAGGCCGTCGGCGCCGGGCACCTCCAAGTTGGGCTGGGGATCTCCAATTTGACCAAGTCGATAGGTACCAGTCAGATCTTCTTGGAGCGGCACCGCTCGCCCTTGAAGCTATCCTCCACCCTGATTACTGAGATGTCATCGGGCAGGCTGGAGGAGTTGTAGCAGTTGTCGCGTGGGGGGCTCGCCTTCGCTGCCTGCGTCCAGCCCCAGGCCCTGAAGCTTGTCGTTGATGCACTGGGCGCACCGCTGCAGCCAGGCCTCCTCCTCCTGCATGTGGGGGAAGTAGACCTCCGTGAAGTTGCAGATGATCTGCAGCCTCTGCGGGTCCAGGTCCTGCTTGCCGCCAGGCCTCCTCCTCCTGCATGTGGGGGAAGTAGACCTCCGTGAAGTTGCAGATGATCTGCAGCCTCTGCGGGTCCAGCTCCTGCTTGCCGCCGTCCCCGTAGCAGCTGTCCTGCTCGCCCAGCTTGCGGTAGTGGAAGAGCTCAGGGAAGAGCCAGTGGAGGAGGAAGACGGCAAACTCGCCTGTGAAGAGGCTTCATGCAGGAACTAAGTGAGGGCCTACATGTCCACCACGTGGTCTGAGGCGATGGTGCTGCTCCAGTCCAGAGACAGGCCCTCCTCCTCGTCTTTGTGGTCCAGGAAGTGGCCGGGGTCCACTGCTCAGCCTCAAGCTGGCAGCCTGGCCACCGGGCTGGCTGTTCTCCATCTCCCGCTGGGCCCAGAAGTGGCTGAAGAACTTATTCAGCTGGGGCAAGCACTCGGCCTGTCACACAGCCCTCTCCTTCACCGAGGGGTAGTAGACCTCCATGTAGTTGTGGATGAGCTGCAGGTGCAGTGACTCCAGCTTAAGCTTGGCCTCAAAGCTGCAGGCACTGCAGCCTCGGGAGAAGTTGACTGTGGCTGAAGAGCTTGGGGAAGAGCTGCACCAGCGGGCAGCAGGCCAGGACCCCGCCTGACAGGCTCTGGTCCAAGATCTGCTTAAGCTCCATGCCCGTGAGCTGCTACGGGGTGGTGGGGGTCGGCTGGAATTTGGCCACCATCTCAGTGGGGTTCACCTTCAGGGAGAGCAGGTCCACTTTGCTGTGTAGCTGGGACCTGTTGGACGTGAGGGTGTTGAGCATGTAGAACATCTCCTGGATCAGGAAGTAGATGTTAGGGTCACTGTTGGTGGCTGCCCCAGTGCTGCCACAGTCCCACTTCTATGGCTCATTCAGGAGCCTAAGCAGCGAGGGGCTGTTGCTGGAATTTGCCTTCTGGAAGAGCTCATACGTGTTTAGCAGGTCCCCCGAGGGAGGGTTCTTCTTCTCCATGACCTTGTGGGAGATGCCATACAGAGGCTTCTTGTAGTAAGGGGTGGTGGCATGGTTGCGGGGCTCCTCCTTGCCTGGCCACACAGAGCCCGAGCTCCTGCCTTGCCGGCCTGCTCTCCATTGCCTTGGCAGGGCGAGCTGTTCTCGGGTTCCACATGCCTGCTAGGAGCGCCTCTGGGATCAGCTACCTCCTCTCCACGCTGGGGATGGAGTCTGGCTGGCCATTGCTGACCAGCTGAGTCCTGGAGGGCAGTAAAGACGCTGTCCAGAAGGTGCTTCTCAGAAGTCCTGGAATTCACGGAGCAGCCTAGAGCAGCATCTTTGGCCTCTGTCTCCACTCTCACTTCTTAGAAGTTCTTCTACATCAATTTTTTTTGGAGATGGTTCTGACTCTGTCACCCAGGCTGGAGTGCAGCAGTTGCTCAGAGCTCACTGCATCCTTGACCTCCCAGACTCAAAAGAGCCTAGCTACTTAGGAGTAGCTAGGACTACAGGCCACGGCCACCATGCCTGGCTAATCTTTTAAATTTTTTGTAGAGGCAGAGGTCTCTCATTGTGTTGCCCAGACAAGTCTCAAATTCTCGGGCTCAAGTGTTCCTCCCAAAGTGCTGGGATTAATGGCGTGAGCCACTGTACCTGGCCATATTTTTTTTTTCAAAAAATTCATTTGTAGAGTTTAAAAAGTATCTTTTGATCAAGAGTTCTTATTGTATTTATGTTTGCAAATTTCATTTCCCATTCTGTTGCTTGCCTTTTCACTCTCAGTGAGTTATTTTATGATTACAAATCCTTATTTTTTATGTTATTTTATTACTATTTATTAACTTATTTATCTTATTTATTAGCCTTCAATCGTTACTTTTTGAGTCTTTTTTAAAATCTTAAGGTCATAGAAGTGTCCTCTGTATTACTTTTTAAAAACTGTACTGTTTTATGTTACACATTGGCTTCTATATGAAATAATTTTTGTGTATGTTGTGAGGTTGGATGTTAATATTCATTTTTATCTGTACCGATGTATGAAAGACAGCACAATTTATTGAAAATGAATCTTTTCCTCATTGTACTGAAGCACTATTTTTTTCACAAATCAGCTAAATATATTGTGTGGTTCTCTTTACGAGCTCTCTATTCTGTTTCATTGAAATATCTATACTTGCACCTTTTCCATAATGTCATAATTAATATACATTTATAAAAACTTTATATCTAATAGTGTAAGTCTTCACATTATATTTTTTCTTCAAAGTTATCTATACACTGCATTTTTATTTGCATTTTATAGTCAGTTTTTCAGTTGCCACCAAATATAATGCAGACAAATTATGCTATTACTAATCACAGTATTGTGATTTTCAGTGTATTACAAATATAGATTTATTTAAAATACTGAATCTTTCTTCTAATACCAGGAATGACATAGGACTCACAGTACACCTTTATTTCTGTTGAATATCTTTAATTTCTCTCAGTAAAATTTCACAATTTTCAGTAAAGGGATTGCATATGATATGTTACATTTTATATTAGGAATTCAATGTTTCTTCCTGGAAACATTTCAGATTTTTAATATTTTATTTGATTTAGACTCACTACATTTGGAAAGCTTTAATTGTAATTTTATTTTTAATAGATATAGAGCTATTAGGATTTGCTATTTATTCTTGTGTCACTATTAATGATTTTCTAGAAATGTATCTATTTCATCAAATTATTTCAAAATTTTTGACTTAAAGTTACTTATTACATTCTCTTTTTCTCTCCCATGACTATAGAATCTATAATGATTTCCTTGTTATTATTCATGATATTTAGAATTTGTGGATACTCTTTTTTTTAAATTTCATGCATAATCATGGTATATTTTTATCAGTCTTTTCAAAGTAACTTTGGCTTTTGCTGATTTCATTTATTTTATGATTGTTTCCTTTTCTCATGCTTCTTATGTATCTTCTCTTTTCTAATTCTTTGGATTTAATTTGACATCACATTTTAAATTTTTGAAATTGACAATTAGATTATTAATTTTCAAGCTTTAATTTTTTAAACATATTTATGTAAGCATATGCATTTATCTCCAAGCTGAGGTTTGCCTAAGCCTCCCATCTTTTAACAAGCAGTATTTTTACTTTCGTTTTTATTAAATTCAAAATATATTTTAATATTCACTGTAATTACTTTTTCGATCCATGAATAACTTAGAAATGTGATGCTTAATTTCTAAACATTTGGTCACTTTCAAAGTCTTGCTATAGATTTGCAGCTTAATAACATTGTTGTACAAAAAACACTGTCAAGGATTTCAAATTTTTGGTATTTATTGATTCTTGTTTTGGGCCTAACCTCAGCCTATATCTGTCTATCTAACCTATCTATCTATCTATCTATCTATCTATCTATCTATCTATCTATCTACCTACCTACCTATCTATTATCTATCTACCTAGATAGACAGAGATATCTATAGATAGCTATGGTAAATTTTGAAACACGTTCCAAATACATTATAATAAATTGTGTGTTTTGCTATTTTTGGGTGCAGTTTTTATATCAAAGTATTTAATCCTACTGCTTTAAATTTTTCTATTATTATTGATATTTTGTATCCTTTTTGCTATCAGTTATTGAAAAAGGTATATTAAAGTCTTTATGATTGAAGACGCGGCTATTGCTCCTTTTAGTTCTATAAAAATTGTAAATGTGTGTTAACTGTGTGTGAGTGAATATACATACACAAGTTTGACAACTTCCTCAATAGTTGATTCTTTTATATGGATGATGGATACATCTTCCTTTCAAGTAATAATTTCTGCCTTAAAATCTCTTTTGTCTGATATTAACATAGCTAAACAAATTTTCATTTGGCTTGTGTTTGATTACCTTTTATATGCATATATGAAAGGTTTTTAAATTAAGATGGTTCTATAGATAGATATATAGATAGAAGATAGTAGATATCTTCTACAGATACAGATATGTATATGTATTTATATACATATATAGATATATTAATATTTATATCTATGTCTATATATACAAATGTATATATGCAGATATCTATATATGTATATCTACATAAATATCTACATGCCGATATATATATATATCTATGTGTGTATATGATATCTATATACATGTAGATAAAGATAGGCATGTATATGCATATATACAGATACCTATGTATATATCTATCTATATACATATATACATGTAGATATATACATACCTATATACATGTAGAAATATAGATGTAGATATAAATATATATATGTGTATAGAGATATGTGTAGACATATATAGATGTATACATATATAGATAGATAGGTCTATATAGAAAACCATCTATCTATATCTAGATAGAGATATGTATTGATAGATATCTCTCCCTGTCTATCTCTAGATAGATTATCTAATCTATCTGTAAAACTATCTTAAAACCATACTAATTTAAAAATCAAGATTCATCTTAATTTAAAAATCTTAATTTAAAAGTTAAGAACCATCTTTATTTTGTGGTTCATATACACCATGGAATGTTAGGCAGCCATAAAAGAGAGTGAGATCAAGTCCTTTGCAGGAACATGGATGGAGCTGGATGGAGGTCTTTATCCTTAACAAACTAATGCAGGAACAGAAAACCAAATACTGCATGTTCTCATTTACAAATGGGAGCTAAATTATGAGAACACATGAACACATAGAGGGAAACAACAGACACTGGGGCCTCTGGGAGGGTGGATGGTGGGAGGAAGCAGAAGATCAGGAAAAACAATTAATGGGTACTAGGCTTAATAGCTGGGTGGTGAAATAATCTGCACAACAAATCCCTGTGACACTAGTTTACCTACATAACAAACCTACGCATGTGCCATTGACCTGAAAATAAAAGTTAAAAAAATTATTAAAAATATGTCAGTAAAAGTCTTTAACCAACACAAGATGGTTCATCCCAAGAGTCATCTTAATTTAAAAATCTTCACATCTTAAGAAGCTACACGGGAGGCTGCGGCAGGAGAATGGCTTGAACCCAGCAGGCAGGGGTTGCAGTGAAGCGAGATGGCAACATTGTACTCCAGCCCGGGCGACAGTGTGAGTCTCTGTCTCAAAAAAAAAAAAAAAAAAAAAAGCAACTTTGCTGCTTAAATTGAGTATAATACCCATTTACATTTAATGTGGTGAATGAAAAATTTGGTTTTCATTTACCACCCTACAACTGAATTTTTAATTCCTCCACATATTCTATTTGCCTTTCTCAACTATTATTTTATAGATAAAAGGACTTACAGAAAGCAAATATATGATTCAATATTCCAATAAAAGTGCTTTTTAAATTTATATTGAGCATTTTATCCTTCTTTCTTAAAAATCTTAAGCTACACACATTACATAGCTAGGCACTGATAAGAATCTAGTACTAGATAACCATTTCAAAGGCATGGATAGAATGCTTTCCAGGTATGGATTGTTTCCATAACTCCCCTTCCATACATTTTAAAGCCATTGCATAAAAAATAAGGAATTTTGTAGAGAGGAGTGAGTTTATATCCTTTAATATTTTCTCACTTTAGAAGTGCAGTCTTGGAATGATATAAACTCTGTAAACAGACTATCATGCTGCATTTACAGAGAATGATATCATGGTGTCTATTTTTAAGACAAGAATAAAAATTATGTTTTTTTCTAATAATAGAAATGGATAAGCAGAATTCTGGCTTCTAATAATGAGAACATACTATCCCCTAGTTTGAAATAAGTTAGATAATTTAACTTTCTCATGTTATCTTGAAGTTAATACATCATTTGTATTGAATGTATCAGTGCACTACATGAAGTCTTACATTGGGTACCATCCCTTTTATCTTCCACATAAAGTGATTTAGTGTTTTAATACACTTCTTTCCATATCTTGCAGTTTTGCATAGCAAAAGAAGCATGCACTTTGAGGAAAATGCACCTTTTAATTTTCTGTATTTTAAATATTATGGGTACAAAATATTTGTATATAATTATGGAGTACATGTGATGTTTCAATACCTCCTTTTTGATCCCAGATCTTTCCTGAATTTTTTGTCCAATTTGTATTGCGTTATTTATGTTTGAAAAGGAGTAATGATGTTTAGTATATACTGTTATAAAATAACTGATTCAAAGGATGTAAAGTATCTGATACTAACTATGTCCAAATATGATTTTTAAGCAAATGTTCCTAACAATACATAAATAATAACATGGAATAAAATAAATTCATGTAGCTTTATGATAATAATTTTACCTAAATTAAAAAGTGTTATGTGCAAATAGATGGTATACGACACTTGGCATGTAATAATGCAATTAAGTCCAATTGAATATATTGTTTGATTTATTTCCACAATCTTTGATACATGTATTGTAGATCCAAACATCAAAAACCATAAGTAGCCTGTATAATGCTTTTTTTATTCTCTGTAAAGTTTTTAATATAAATATATAAAAGAGCATCTTAAATTATTTAAGTCAATTATTTTATATGTGGATTTGGTATTAGAACATATATCTTCTTTAGCACAATAAACTTTTTTAAGTGTCAGAAATTATATAATTATATAGTGACTTTTGTTCACAAGGTAGTTAGTTGTACGTACCTACAAGATACTTGAAAAATATTTTTGTCAAGATTGGATGCATTTTTCTCTTATAGACTCTTAAAAATGTTAACAAGCCAACACGTGAACGTACTGAAGTATTTTTTAATCATCTTTTCTAGTGTTGATAATGAGTTGGCTGATATAAAGTCATTAGAGTGGCAATTCAACAAATATTTTCTATGGCATAACAAATGTCATTAACTTGCTAGTCTGTCACGATGTTGCAAAGCTAAAGTCACATTCATTAGTGTTTTTTGTTGTTGTTGCTGTAGTGGTGGTTTGTTTTGTTACATGAAGTGGCCCACTTCTTGTATTAAATTATTTATTCTTTCTGAAAATGTTCAATCAGAATGTAATAACACCTTTAAAAATGATTTAAAAATGTATTCCCATAGGTGGGAATTGAGCAATGAGAACACTTGGACACAGGGTGGGGAAAATCACACCCCAGGGCCTGTCGGGGGTGGGGGCAGGGGGAGGGATAGCATTAGGAGAAATACCTAATGTAAATGATGAGTTAATGGGTGCAGCAAACCAACATGGCACGTGTATACCAATGTAACAAAACTGCATGTTGTGCACATGTATCCTAGAACTTAAAGCATAATAAAAAATATATATATTTATTTCTACTGAACACAATGTCTATATATTAGATGACCTAGAACTGGTAGGGGGTTCTAATCCAGGGGATTGTTGATAAACTCAGACAACTTCTGTATTTTTACATTGTTACTCTTAAAGTCTTGTCATTGATTGTCTCAATATTGGAAAATAACATGTCAATATTCAGTGTAATAAACTGGAAGAAAAAATGGGCCAATATCCCATTCAATTAAAGACATGAAAAAGAGTGTGTATGTATTACTTCTGCTCACATCTTAATGTTCAACATGTCGTCACCAAGCCAGATAGAACCATATACTGGGGAATGTAATGTTTATCTGAGAAACCAAATGCCTAAATACAAATTTTAGTAGTACGAAGTAAGAGGAAATAAATATGGGGGATTTTCTAGTCTTCTCTATTATATATAAATTGCAAGATTTGGCTACTTTAAAAAATATTAACATTTACTAATTTTTCATCAATTCAAATACCATATTGTAGAGTGCAATTTAACCAAATTAGATAACAGTCCCAAATATAACATTTAACTGTACATCTTCCAGAAGCCAAAAAATGAGAAATTATTTGTGGCTTTTGGCTAGACAAAGATTTCTTAGATGTGGCCCAAAAGAACAACCTAGAGAACAAACAAAAAAACCAGTTACAACAACAATAGATATGACTTCATAAAAACAAAAAATTCTGTATTTCTACCCTATATGCCTCAAACTAGGAATAGACATTTCCAAATTATATCTGATAAAGAATGTGTATCCAAAATATGTAAACTCAATTATAAGGAAAATTACAGACCAATAATAAACAATAAGGAAAAGAATATACTTGAACACATACTTTGCCAGAGGAAATTCAGAGACAGCAAATAATCACATCAAAAGATGTTCAATATCTTTAGCCATTAGAGAAATACAAATTAAATGAGATGCCATTCCACACCTACTAGAATAAATACAATTAAAAATACTCATCATCTTGTGTGTTGGTGATGATTTAGAACAACTGTAATTCTCAAATACTGATGGTAGGAAAGTAAAATGATACAGCCACTCTGGGAAAAAAAAATGGACTGTTTCTTACAAAGTTAAATAGACCCCCATCATTTTACCTACTTATTCTACTGTTGCTCTTTAAGCAGAAAACAGTATAGCGTATATACATACAAGAATGTGTTTGCAAGTGGCCATGACAAACTTATTTATACTAACACTAAACTGTAAACAACCCAAAGTTTATCAATGGGTGAATAAATAAACCAAACACTGTATACTCATAACGTGAGATATAACCACACACACACACACACACACACACACACACACACACACAAAACCATATTTTCAACAAACGGTACTGGAACAGTTGGACATCCACATCCAAAAAAAAGAATGTAGACACTGTGTATACACAATGTACAAGAATGGATAATAGATTTAAATATAAAAATGTGAGACTATAGAAGAATGTTATAAGTTGAATTTAATAAAAATTAAAACTTCTGCTCTAAGAAAGTCATAGTTAATATTTAAAAAACAAGCCAAGACTGGGAGACAATATTTACAAAACATGTATCCAATAAAGAACTGGTATGAGCACGCCACAGAACTCTTGAAACTCAAAAAGAAAAAAAAAGATAAATAATCCAGTTAAAAAATGGGCAGATCTGAACAGACATTTCACTGAGGAAAATATATTGATGGCAAATAAGCGAATGAAATATGCTCAACATCATGTATTATTAGAGAATCGCTCATTCGAACGAGATACCACCGCATGCCTACTAAAATGGCTAAAATCCAGAACACTGAAAACACTAAATTGTGTTGAAGATAAAGAGCAAGGGAAACTCTCATTTGTTGCTTGTGGGAATGCAAAATGGCACAGCCACGTTAGAAGATAGCTTTGCAGTTTCTTACAAAGTTAAATGTAGTCTTACCACATGGACCAGTAACTTCACTCCTATCCAAATGAGTCAAAAATATTTCACTCCTATCCAAATGAGTCAAAAAAACTTCATTCCTATCCAAATGAGTCACATGACTCCTTAAAATAGCTTTTCTCATAACAAAACTTGGTAGCTACCAGATGCCGCCAACAGGTGAGTAATGGTTCAATAAACTAGCATATCTATAAAATGGGATATTCAGTGATTAAAAAATAAGCTATCAAACCATACAAAACATGCAAGAACCTAAAATGCCTACAACTTAGTGAAAGAAGCTAATCTGAAAAGGCTGTATACTGTATAATTCCAATGATACAACATTCTTAAAAAGGGAAAAACTGTAAAAAGATCAGAATTTCCAGTAGTCTCCAAGGGAAGGGATGAATAAATCAAGCACAGAAATTTTTAAGAAAGTAAAACTATTCTTATAATATTGTAGTAGTGGTTACATGACATATGCATTTGTCCAAACGCATGAAATGTATAATGTCAAGAGTGAACGCTAATATAAAACTAATTTATGGACTTTCATTTATAATGTCAATACTGATGCATCAATTATAACGAATGTACCACACTAATTCAAGATATTAATCATAAAGAACATGGAGAGTAGGAGAAAGTGTATGGAAATTCTCTCTGCTTTGTTAGTTTCTACTATAAACCTAAAATTGTTCTAAAAATAAAATCTATTAAAAAAAGAATGAACTATTGTTACCAGTATCAACATAGGCGAAAGTCAGAGTAGTTATGTTGAGTGCAAAAGACAGACAAAAAAGAATAGATTTTGTGTGACTCCATTTACATAAAATTCTACCAAGTGTAAACCATTCTGTAGTATCAGAAATAGATTAGTAGTTGCATGGAGATTGAGTAGGGAAGAGGGGAAGAAGCGATTACTAAAGACACAAAATAACTTTAGGGAAGTGAATATGTTCATGATCTTGATTGCCATGGTGTTTTCTCGTGTACCAATATGCCAAAACTTTAAAAATACACTGGATATGTTCAGTTTATGTCAATTACACTTCAATGAAAAACATTTTAAAATATTACGTATCTTGATTTTATGTTTATGCAGAGATATTATTTCTCTATCTGCCATATATACCTTTTGGCATAGTGTAAAGATATATAAACATAGTATATAAATATGGTATTTGTAATATTCTTATTCATATGCAAAATATAGTTTACTTTTAATTTTTTAACTTCTGTTTTGATTCTGTATCCTCCAGACATTAACATTGAGAACTTCATATACAATTATGTATTTAAAAATGAGTCGTCTAGTATAATACAAAATATCAGCAATGTAACATGACAGGAACAAAATATAAATGAAGTTGCTTTGTATAGATTCATTTTTCTCATTAAAACATTTCATAGCATAATGCACTTATTCAAAAGTATTAACATATATATTTAAGTGCACTATGAAAAACAGAATCAAGAAATGGATACCATATTGATACTAAATCCTACGTTAAAGTATGTTGAATAATTTGTAGTTTTTCAAAAGTAACTCAGTCATGTCACATATTAATAATGAATATATTTATTTTTAGGAACTCCTTTTAAATAACTATTAGGTATATAGTTTTATGCTGAGTTTTATGAGAAACAAAATAAGCATATCATTTTATGTCAGGAATAGAGAGTATATTTGTCCCTAGGTCATTTTCTATAGCTGTCAAAATGTTTCAACATCTTTTAAAACTCCAGAAAATGAGGAAGAAATATAGAAATGTTCCTAGGTTGTTCTTGTAACTTTATCTAGTTTTTTTCTATTCTTAATTATATTAATTCTTCCCAATGGCTTATTTAAAAATGGGTCTTCAATTGTCTTTCATTAAAATTCTATGGGGTCTCATTACGTGTAAGAAGGTTTTATTTCACACCAAGTATTTTTCTGTTATGTAAAAGGAAAATAAAGCTCTGGGCTAAAGAAATAACTTTTTTTAAAAATTTTCCCTATTGGGAAGTAGTTGAATATATACTTTGCTGTTTTCAGCTAAAACATATTAGAATGTGATTCTATTTACAACAAAAATGAAATAAGGCTGTGTTACATTGGCAAGCTGTAATGGGAAATGTATTTGTCACCCTAGGCAAACTGAAAGGGCAGATATATTGAATTCAGTAATGCTGAATAATTAAGCCTTCACTTATAACCCTTATATTAGAGAATTCAACTTAATAAGTTAAGTCATTTTCCAAGTGTTTGTTAATGTATCAAAAGGATTTATACATTTCACAAAGGGGGACTCAAGCTAAGCTAAAGATTTATAAACACAACCAATTCACTAGAGAAATAATTTTAACCGTGTTTTTCTTGTTTTTCCAAACCTAACTCTTTCATGGAAAAAAATAAAGGCAATATTATAAAATAGATGAAAGTGCAGGGTAATTACCTTGCATTGAGAAGCCTAGAGCTCACCTGATCCACAATATTTGATAATCCATGTCACCCCTGGTTTACTTCCACAGTTCCCTTAAAGATTGAAGCAGCTCTGCAGCTCTAACAGCTCTGCAGCTTTCAAAATTAAGCAGTCAGATTTCTGTGTGGCTGAGAATTTCTAGCAGTCTCCTCCATTAGAATTTGCCATGCCCAAAATGTCCCATGCTATACAGTTAAATGATTAATGTTTGAGTAATACTCAGTTTGAAATTTAAATTTTTCCTCTTGAGGGGAAAACATGCTTAGCCTTTCATTATAAAATTATCCAAGCTTTCCTCTCATTTCTATGTTCAAATTCATTGCATGAGTTAAAGCATCTTAAGGCTTCCTTCTAAACAATTTATATATTTGCCCTACGATTTCAACTAGTCCTAATCTCAGAGGATCACTTCACTGGAAAAGTTGTGCAAAAGTAAAACGAAATGGAGATTAACTATACTAAATTGTCATGTTGAGCTTCGTGATAAATTTAGTTACAAAGATATTATTCAAATTGGAATTAACTGCAAATCTCCCCCCAATGAAAGTGGAGTGAAATTGGCCGGGTGCTGTGGCTCACGCCTGTAATCCCAGCACTTTGGGAGGCCGAGGCGGGCGGATCACAAGGTCAGGAGATCGAGACCATACTGGCTAACATGGTGAAACCCCATCTCTACTAAAAATACAAAAAATTAGCCGGGCACGGTGGCGGGCGCCTGTAGTCCCAGGTACTCGGGAGGCTGAGGCAGGAGAATGGCGTGAACCCAGGAGGCAGAGCTTGCAGTGAGCCCGAGATCGCGCCACTGCACTCCAGCCTGGGCCACAGAGGGAGACTCCGTCTCAAAAAAAAAAAAAAAAAGAAAGAGGAGTGAAATTACTATATAAACCTAGAGTTATGACCATCAAAAAACATGATATAGCAATAAAATAATTTAATGTTGACTTAGGGAGTCATAAATCAGATATTTTATTCAATGAACTCTGATTTTTAATTATAACAAGAATTATAAATTAGTATCTAAAAGTCATTGTTTCTTAATAAATAATGAGTTGACAAAAATAATAGCTGAAAAATAAAATTATATAGGATGGTTATATTGTGAAAATTTCCATTAAAAATTAAAATAATAAAAAAATCACCTTTGGAAACTACTTTTATTTAAAATATCAGGAATCCAGAAAATTGCAACTTTTCTTGATCTACATAATCATTTTTACATGAAATTTTAATTCCATAACCATTGCAAAGATTTTTCTTAATAAACATAGTATTAAGTATCAAACAGTTCTGTGAAAGTACAATAGAACACAAACATATACTAGAGGTATTGTTTTCTGCATTTATGCATGAACAATAAGATTTTAAAAATTTTTGACTTATCTGTGGAAATATGATAGAGACAATTGTATGGTATGGTTTACGTATTATTCATTTCTGCACTTAGATGAGGTAATTTTTTCTTTTCTAGATAAACTCTAATTCCACTTTTTCCATACAGTACACACATATACATGCATATATATGTTTCTGTTAAACAAGAGTAGTGAGATTTTAACAAATGACTTACCTGTCTTTCTGAAAAGTGTCTTGTCTGTTAATGTCATATGAGCCTATAAGGGAAGAAAGGGACTGTATTACAAAGGAACAGAAATGATCCAGGAGAGTATGAATACAATTGGATTCTAAGAATACTGGGCTATTGGGTATTGGGGTATAGATTGGGATAAAAGAGTATACCCCTATCAGAGCACTGTCAGTTTCACTACTGATATGGTACAAACACATGACAGGATGGTTCATAGCATCAAGGAAAAAGTGATGGCCTCAGGTGAGGTTGCAATGTCAAATTTCCCATGGAAGATGACAGAAGATGCACATATCACAAAGAAAATAATATGTAGAATAGTTAAAATCTACTCTCAATAATTTTTAAGTTATTTTAAATTATATACTATTGTTATTAACTATAGTCACTATTTCCATAGTCACTATAACTACAATCACTATAGAGCTATTATATAATGTACAATAGATCTCTGAAACTTATTTCTCCTGTCAACTGAAATTTTGTTTCCTTTGACCAACATTGAGATAGCAACTTTTATCACAATTTAAAAATTATAATAACATAAAACAAAATAATTTTATAACAAGGAAAAGGCATTTCTTGAAAGTTAATTCACAAAATTGAATGAATGAATTGCTAAACAAAACAATGTCAACAACCAAAACAACTCTAGATATCTCAGGCAGAATGAATTCAAAGAAAACCACTGCGCATATTTCTTCTCAACATTAGATTCACAATGGAATCACCTGGGACAATTTTTTTTTAAAGAAACGAATGCCTACATATCATGTCCAGACTCTGATTTATTTGTTATTAAATATGGCCTGGACATCACTCTACTCCTGACGTCCCTGCTAAAGAATCAACTTCCAGGAAGAGAGACTGGGACTCACTGATTTTGGTGCTATTCAGTTGAACTATGCCCTTACTGATTTTCCACCTGCTGGTTCTATTCATTATTGATAGAGAGGTGTTAACACCTCCAAGTATCATAGTGGATTTATCTGTCTGTTCCTGCAGTTCTATCTGTTTTCACCTCATGTGTTTTGACAGCCTGTTACATGCAAACACATTAAGGATTGTTACGTTTTCTTGGAAAATTAAATCCTTTGTTACTATGTAATACCCCTTTGTATCCCCCTATAATTGTTCTTTCTCTGAAGTCTTTTTGTTGGAAATTAATATATTAATCCAGCTTTCTTTTAATTAGTATTATCATGTTATATATTTTTCAAAGTTAACTCTCAAGCTTGTCCACAATGCGCTTCCAGAAATTAATCAACTACATATTAAAGTTTTCTACTCCATTACTAACTCCTGTGGGGGCTCCTGGGCCTTTGCTCCACTAGGCTATAATTCTTTGCATTTTCCCATCTCTCTAATTTAGTGGGGATTTAGGGTGGGGGCAGCAGTTTTTCTGTGACCTCAGTCCTCTAATGGATCTAAAATGAGTTGTTGATAGTCTGTACAGCATTTTTCTTGTTGTAAGGATGGGAGTGATGACTTTCAAGTTTCTTACATACTCGAATAACTGACATTTTTTATTATATACTCACCCCTGTGGTGGTAGAAGAATGCTATAAATTTTGGATCCACAGAACTAAAGTACTAGGAGAGGGAATTTTTCACAGGAAAGATGTTTGCTACAGAAAAAAAAAAAAAGAAAAAAAAAAGATAAAGTCTTCTCTGCTATCTCTGCTAGACTCTATAAACTCTCTTCCTGTCTCTGGAGTCCAGACACCCAAGCCTCCTTTTAGTTTTGAGCTTTCACTATGCTTTTAACTTAAAGACTTTGCCTACTATGTCTTTTCTGCTGAGAAAGCACCTTATCCCCTCAATTACCTGGTTAACATCAAATATCAAATCATGCTTCTGACTGAAGGCCAAGTACCACCTCTAGAAGAAATCTTCCCTAAGAACAGCCTACATACAGTTAATTGTGTGATCCCTTTTCTTATATCCTTCGAATACTCTTCCTTCACATTACTCTTCCTTCACAGCCTTTAGCCAGACAATATATTACAGGAAAACAGGGAGAACATGATTTTGCCATTCACTCTTACCTTTGCCTAGCCCAGTGCCTGGCAAATAATAGATTCTCATTATATATATATTTTTTGAATGAATTAATAAATCCAAGTAAAGTAATTGATGTTTTGGAGTTATCTAAGGCTGTTAAAATCAGTTAAATATAGTTAATGTGAAGCAAAAAACTGTAAACAAAATTAACGTAATATACACGCTGATGTTACTATTTTAGAAAAAACACAATAATTTACAAATTCCTTTCAATAATTCAATTAATGTTTATGAGATTTGATTGAAGACAAATCTGTCACGGCAATCTGTGAATGCTTTGTTGTAAATAAAAGATAATCCTTGTAATAAGCAAAAACAAATTAACATAACAAATGTCAATTTACAGATAGACAAAAAGTGATTGTTTTCTGGATGAAAAGAGGATTATTAACAGTTGGCATAAGAAATCAAAAATTAGTTCAATAATTAGTCGTATGGAAATGTCAAATATTGACATTAATGTGATAAAGAAAATAAGAGTTTCTGCAAATAACCTCCCATCCCTGATGTGAGTCTTTCACGTCATTCTATAGTTCAACTAGTTCTTAATAACTCAAAAACAGGAAAGATAAAATCCATCATTTTGTTTTACTACCCAGATCCCTCCCGTAGCTGTCATACAGAGTGCGATTTATGACTTGTAAGTTGTGCTATGGAGCTTGACAAGTAAGTTTGATTTCATTTAATATTTTCTTTAAACCATCTTAGATCTTCTCTTTGACAAGTATTTCATCTGTTAGTGTTCTCAAAATGTAAAATGGGTAACTTAATGAGAACAAAAATTGTACCCTAAGACATATTTGCACTATCTACATATTTGCAATTAAATCTTAACAGATTTAATTGTAATAGAATCTAATGGTTTTCCTCTTGAATTTTTTTAGACACCAGAAATTTTCATTACTAATAAATAATGTTTAGCTTCCTAGTCACAAACCAAACAGAAAGCAAATTTCATCAGAGTTTAGAATGGTTAAAACCAACATAGCTGCAATATTTTTAGTTTTGCTTTAAAATTTTTTGAATCAATCAGTAAATCAATCAGAGTTGACCATTATGTAATCCACAGACCTTGAAATAACAGAGATATATTTCTCCGCAGATCAATATCTATATATGTTTTTAAGATGAGTAGAAATTCCCCTGAAGATCATAAAGAAAAAGTATGTCATATAATATAGTAAATAAAAATAATAAGTTATTAATTTTTTCTGCTTATTATGTTCCAGAATCTGTACTAAGCATTTTAGAGGATTATTTTATTTAATTCCCACAACAATCCCTTGAGAAATATACTACAATAATCATCTTTAATTCACAGTTATTGAAAATGAGACACAAAGAGGTTAAGAATTTTGTCCAAGGTCAGGCAGCTAGCGTGACTTAGCAAGGGTGTAATTAAGAAAAAATATGTTTTCTTTATCTTATGGGAAATTTGGAAAAGCAAATATCTACATTCTCTTTTTAATAAAAAAATATATAAAATGTGAGTCTCTCTTAAAGCAGGGAATCAACTTTAATTAAATTGAAACAATACACAATCCTTTGTTGTTCAGGTTCTATATTATTATTATCTCTGCTGACAGCAAAAGCTAAGAATAGAAAATATTTCTGACCCAAGTTGGCAAATTATGAATCAACTTGCTAAAGAATCAGAATAGACTAACAAGTGGAATTAAATGTGATTATTCTATATTATATATAATATAAAAATTTCTTATTGTTATAATTTTACTAAGATTCTACCAGTTTCAACTAAATTATCTTTTAAATCCTAGCTTAATAAAAGAAATTTGGCATGAGATGTTTTCATAGGAAATAGTGACAATTCATATTATTTTTAATTAAGTGTAAATAAGATACATTATTTCTGTATTTCATTTTCCTTCTAAAAGTTATCTTTAAAGTTTTAGTTTTTCTGAAGTTGACAGCTATTACTAAGTCTTTTGGGCAAAGTTTTTTGAGATAGATTAATTTATAAAATTAGGAAGAAACTAAAGTAGTTGCAAAAGTTTCTAAAAAGATAATAAAGTAGTTGTCTCTATGTTATAATAGAAAATGAGAATGTGAATGCAGATCATTTTGACTCTGTTTGTGTTTTCAGCAAATATTACCTGAATATTGATATATAAATTAGAATTCCCCAAAGGAAAACATTTTAAAATGTTAAAATAAATAAAATCATTAACTTACATACTTGTCCTTAGTATCAGAACAATCTCCAGTGGATTCAACAGAGCATCTGCAGTTTTGTTGAACAAAGGTTTCTGCAATATAGACTCATGGTGTGATCTTACTGGGTCACATTCTTTGTTCCTTCTTGGAGCTTTGGGAGGCATTTATAAAAGAGCTGCTGCAGTAGAAGGACTGAGTTGTGTCACACTGAGGATTTAAGTTTCTATGGGAGAATCAAATTCACTTTAGGGATTTAGTGGGTTTCCCTAGTCTTATTAATAAAATACTAATACGACATGAAAAATGCATACTTTGTCTTACAATAATCCAATTAAGACACTATTTTTGCATAGCAAAATTCTTTACTAAACACCAGTTGCAAATCAAGTGAAATTGCATTGGCAAGAGGTGATCATACTGCTCTCCTACTCCTGCCCTTTCCTCCTACTCCAGCTGAAAATACTTGCTGCAAATGTCCTTTTATAGGAGACTTTGACCCCAGGGTGTAGAAAAGGAAAGGAAAAGGTCAGATATATATATGTCTTGTCTATAACTGAAACCTAATACCAGCACAAAAGCCTAAAAGGACCGATTTTTAGAGGGCGTTGGCAGGAAACTCTTTGCTCTGCTATCATCTGTTTTAAGCTACTTTTATACATGATTTATTATTTCAGCTTCTACTCTGCTACTATTCAACTGCAAATGCAATTTGTTATATTGTACACTTCAACACCTTGAACAGCATCCTAATTATTAGTGAAATGTATTACAAGTTCATAAAGAAAACAGCATTTTGTTTCTTCAGTCATCTACTTAAGATGAAAGTGTTATTTAGAAAAGAATAAATGGGAAAAATGATACATTAAAAATAAAAATTGCATATTAACTTTTTAGATCAAATAAACCAACTTTAAGCATTTTCATGGACCTTTATAACCAAAATAAACATTTAAATACAGATAATTTAATTCAGTATTTTGTTTCTTGAAAATATTGGAATATGTGTTTCAGATAATGCATATATTTCTGTTATTGAAAAATAAGCTTTCAATAGTCAGCTGACTTCATACGTAAATAATAATACCATTTTAAATTTATTCAAGGATTTAGGTGTTCTTAAATATGACTTTATAACTTATTTTACTCCCTTAAAGTAAATATTTATGGCATCTGTAAGTCATTGTAAAATTGTAAAATTGGTATAGCATAGTATTCAGATTGTCCTTTGTAATGTTTTATACTATTCACATTTGTATTTAATCACAAATTTGATACAATTTAGCCAAACCTTCAATACATTTATGAAGAGAGCACTACCGAGACTTTATACAATGGAATAAAATAACAAAATGTGCTGACAGCATTCTTCCACTCAAAGAGGTATATATATTTTTTATTCTAATTCTTTAATTTTATTTTTTAGCACCCAATGATGGGGAAAGTTACTGGAAGTGTGATTAAGGCTATTATAAGATACATAAACTGTATGGCATAAGCATTCTCAACTCAACTTCACACTCTACATTGTTTATCAACTTAGTATGCCAGCTTTTTAAGTTTGGTGGAATCTGGTATTCCACACCTACATGTCTCTGAATCCCACCCATGTACTGATGCCAAGATGAACTGAACCAGGGACGAATTTTTCTCTTATATGGAAACATGAATATATTCCATACTGGAGTGAGCTCTCATCAGCGGTTTGCCTATGGTAATTACTTTGTGCCTTGTAATGGGTCATGTAGTATCCTCATAAGGGTGTGTCTGAGTCCTAGAACCGCTCTCATTCCAGTACCTGTAAATATCGCCTTATTTTGAAATAGGAGCTTTACAGATATAATAAAGTTAAAGATCTCAGGGTGAGATCATCCTGAATTTAGAGTGCGTCATGGGTATTTGGGACACAGAAACACAAGCAAGGTCATGTGAAGATAGAGACAAAGGTTAGAGTTATGCTGTCACAAGCCAAGGAGTGCCACGAGCCACCAGAAGCTAGAAGAGGCAAGGAAGCATTCTTCCCTAGAGCCGTCAGAGGATGTATGGCTCTGCCTCCACCTTGATTTTGGTCTTCTGGCCTCTATAATTGAGAATTTTTTTTTTTTTTTTACTATTTTAAGCCACAAATTTTGTAGCAATTTCTTTTGGCAGCACTAGGAAACTAGTTAATACCTCTATTATTTGGTTAAACAAAGAACACTATTAAGTATTTTTAAAACAATGTACATCAGTGTTGATTATGGTAAGCATACAGTTTATAATCAGATAGGTTTCTGTGTAAAATTTCATGTTATTATATTGATTTGTTTTAACCATACAAGACTTGCTTGGATGTGGTACCATTGAATACCATCCCCATTCCCTCCTGTCCCACAGCTTTTTGAAATGTATGGGGCTTTGTTCTAGACTGAACATTCCTTTTCCCTCAAATTTCATATGTTAAAGCCCTACCCCACAATGTGACAGTGTTGGGAAGTGAGGCCTTTGAGAATTAATTAGGTTTAGACTAAGTCATGAGCGTAGGGCCCTCATCAATGGAATTAGTGTCCTTAGAAGAACAGGAAGAGAGTCTATAGAGTGCTCTCTCTCTCTCTCTTTCTCTCTCTATCTGCTATGTGAGGATACAGCAAGCCGGGAAGAGGACCCTCACCAGGAAACAAATTTGCTAGCACCTTAATCTTGCACTTTCCAGCTTCTACAATTGTGAGAAATGTCTGTTGTGTAAGCAATTCAGTCCATGATATTTTGTTATAGAAGCCTGGACTGACTGATAAAGGCTGGAACATGCTGGAGAGATGGTACAAAAACTAATTTTAGAAAAATATTTTAAGTTGTAAGATCTGAAGCAGAAGTCACTTACATATTACCATTTACATCACCAAATTACTCCATTTACAGTATAAATTAAGGAAATTTATGTTTTATTCAAGCCTTTTAAAATCAGCACACCCACCTTGCAGAAGTAATTAATAACCCATGATTATTAATTATGTTTGCCAAGTTAATTTTCATCCAGTATTATTTGCAGGCAAAGTTTGAAATTGATGAATCATCTCCCTTTTGAAATGTCACTTGTAGAACTAAAGGCTACCTATAATTTCTGTAATTGCTACTCTTTAATGGAACTTTAAACTTCTAAGAAAAATATTTCAATATATTGTTAAATTGACTTCAATGACTAAGATTGTGGTGGAGAGGATATTTCCCCAAACTAACTCTTTCTCTGACACTTAGGGGTTCATTGTAATAGTAACACCTTGCTAGCAGTCATCTGCTAGTGATTTGCTCATGGAAGAAAAAGGCTAAGGAAATTTAGGTTTGATGACCTTTTTCAGAGTTTCTGGGAAAGCAAAACCTTCTCTCTACTACTCACTGCAAACAAGCATGTTGTGCAAGCTGCTGCTGCCAACCAGGTCACATCCATTAGTGAAGTCAATGCTGTGGGGAGAGACATTCAAACCTGGGTCACTGATAATATCATTTTCAATTTCTGACCCAATCAATTCTGGGGCTTCCAATTCCTCTCTCCATGGTCTTATGTGAAATAATACATTTTTAAAACTGTTGAAGTCATATTGAGCTGAAATTTCCCTTAATTACAATTCTTACTATTTTAACTATTTATGCTAAGTTTCTTTGTTCCAGAAAAAGTACTTCAACTCGGCCGGGCACGGTGGCTCACGCCTGCACGCCTGTAATCTCAGCACTTTGGGAAGCCGAGACGAGCGGATCACGAGGTCAGGAGATCGAGACCATCCTGGCTAACACGGTGAAACCGTGTCTCTACTAAAAAAAAAAAAAAAAAATTAGCCGGGCGCGGTGGCGGGTGCCTGTAGTCCCAGCTACTCCGGAGGCTGAGGCAGGAGAATGTCGTGAACCCAGGAGGCGCAGCTTGCAGTGAGCCGAGATCGCGCAACTGCACTCCAGCCTGGGCGACAGAGCGAGACTCCGTTTCAAAGAAAAAAAAAAGTACTCTAACTCATTTTCATTTTTGTAGGACTTGAATTTTTTAGGGCAGTTTCAGTTTCACAGAAAAATTAAGAGGAAGACGTAGAGATTTACCATATATATGTAGTAATATATATTATATATGGTAATATACCATATATTACTATATATATATATATAACAAGCATGTGGAGGCAGGGTATATTATATATATACACACACACACACCCTGACATAATATATATATATATATACACACACACACACACCCTGACATAATGTGTATATACAATATAATATATATTATATATTATATTATGTATGTAATATATCCTGCCTCCACATGCATGGCCTCCTTCATTATCAATATCTTCCTCCAGAGTGGTACAACTGTTAAAATTGCCTCTACGTTAATACAATTTTATTACCCAGTGGTAAATATACATAACATAAAAGGTACCATTTAATCATTTTCAATTCTAAAACTCAGTGATATTGAATACATTCACAATGTTCTATAATTAACACTGTTTTCATAACTTTTCTATCACATCAAACAGAAGTTCTGTACCATTAAGCACTAATTCTCCATTCCCTTTGCCCCAGCCTCCATGCCCTGGAAACATGCAATCTGCATTCCCTCTACATTAATTTGACTATTCATGATCTTTCATGTAAGTAGAATCATATACTGTTTGTCCTTTTGTGTCTGGCTTATTTTGTTTAGCATAATGTTTTCAAGGTTTATCCATGTTGTAAACATGTATCAGAACATCATTCCCTTTTTATGGCTAAATAATCTTCCCTTGTATGTACATGCCACATTTTGTTTATCTACACATACAGGTTTGTTTTCACTTTTTGACTCTTGTGAATAAGAATGAGTGATAGTATCTGGTGTGTGCATACAGCCATTTTCTTACTAAAGGCCAATAGCATCAAGCAGTCTACTAATGGTTGTTATTTATCTGATTAGGATCCAGAGTTCCAAAAAGGTTAATTCTTTTTTTTTCCAGTTTAATGGCAGTTTTTGTGGAGGGATTGACTTCTATAACTCCCTATTCCAATCTTCTAAAATCCACTTTAAAAGAATGGTTTAAATTGTGTGCTTGTAGGATGAAATTGATAAACAATTATTTTACCAACTTTCAAAATTACATCATAGAGATAATGTCCTTTGACTATTGGGTGTTCACATATTTGGCATGTTATGAACAACTTTCTGGAAGATAAAGGCCTTTTATCTCATACTTAATATTAAGACAGGAACCAGTGTGCTAGCAATGGCTTTTGGGTTTGATGTGATATATTTGTATGTAATGATTTTTTAAAACTTAGAGAGAAAAATCCTCTCATACAAAACAAAATAGTTTTTACTGTTATGAGAAAGTAGTTATTAATTACTTATAAAACATGCAAGTATCTTTATGATATTTGGTGATTTATTTTTCTCCAGCCATCTTGTCTTGTTGTTAGTGGGGAAAAAAATAGGGATGCTCTTTATCTATGAAAATGTGAAAAGTATATACACATTTTAACTATACATGGTTTCCCTAAAAATTCTTCTTCTGTTTTTAATCCTCTAAAATGATCATTGATATGTACAAATAAATACTGATGATAGCAACTGAAGGATCATTTTTGCTGTTATCAGAAATTGAAAATACTGTAACAGTCTATCAATAGAGAAATGGTTATGTACATTATGATACATAGCATATGTCCATATTTAGAATACGTACCAAATGTATACAACAAAGCACAATGAATACATGATTATACTAAGATGGATAGGCATGGATCCACATATTACTCTGTTTGTACATGGTCTTTTCCAAACAGAAATACAATGTAAGAAAGAAGAAAAGAAAAATAAAGAGAAAGCGAATAAAGGCGACAAAATAAAATATAAACCAGGATGCATTAGCTGGTCTCATCTTAGGGCTGGAACACCAGTAAAGCTTCTCTTCTCTGGAAAAAGTTTAGGTCTCTGAAGTTTTCTCAGTGCATCATAACTGACAGCAGCAGGAATGTGGTTTTGCTAAAGGCAACAGAAAAGCAAAACTGTCTCAAGATTTAAATATTAATCCAAAGGTTGAACTTTTTACCTTAATGTTGCTGCTTTCTGTATGCACATCCCACAGGATGTAGGAAGGTGGAAAGGATGAAGGAATGTGGAAAATGTAGAAAATTAAAAAATAAGGTAAATTTAAAAGGTAATACGACTAACATTCATTCATTCACATTAAGCTCCTACCTTGTACCACATTGTATTGTAGACACTGCGGATATAGCAGTGAAAAAAAGAAAATAAAGAAAAATATGCCTTTTTGGAGCTTACATTCTCTTGGAAGGAGATGTGTAACAACATAAATAATTAAACTACATAATATGTTAAGTGTTGCTAAGTGCTATGGAGGAAAGTAAAGCAGACAAAGCAAATAAAGAACACGAGGAGGAGATATAATTTTAAGTAGGGAAATAAGGAAGGCATGACGGAGACAGTAGCATTTGAGTGAAAGACTTGAAGAAGGTGATATGGTTTGACTGGGTCCCCCACTAAATCTAAAGCTTGAATGGTAGTTCCCATAATCCCCACATGTCATGGGAGGGACCTGGTGGGAGACAATTGAATCATGGGGGCAGTTACCTCCACGCTGCTATTCTTGTGATATGAATGAATTCTCATGTTCTCTGAGGGTTTTATCAGGGTTTTTTCCCCCATTTTGCTTGGCACTTCTCCTTGCTGCCACCACGTGAAGAAGGATGTGTTGCTTCCCCTTCCACCATGGCTGTAAGTTTCCTGAGGTCTCACCAGCTGTGCAGAACTGTGACTCAATTAAATCTCTTTCCTTTATAAATTACCCAGTCTAGGATATGTTTTTATTAGCAGCATGAGAAGGAACTAATCCAGGAGATAAGGAAACAATTCAGGGGGGAACTTGAAGACAGGTGTTTTCAGTCAGAGAAACCATGTACAAAGCATCTAATGTGAGAGTGCTATGGTCTGAATGTTGACAACCACCCCCCTCCAAATTCATAGGTTGAAATGTAATTCACAGTATGATACTATTAAAAGTTAAGGTCTTTGGAAGGTGATTATGTCATGAATACAGAGCCTTCATGAAGGAGATTGGTGCCTTTATAAAGGATGCCTGAGGGGGTTGGTTTGTCCCTTCCACCATATGACGACTCCACCATGTGAAGAAGATGGGTCTATGAACTAGGAAATAGGGCCTCATCATATATGGAATATGTGAGCACTTTGATCTGGGACTTAGCTTCCAGAACTGTGAAAAATAAATTTCTGTCATTTATAAGCTACTTAGTCTATGGTATTTTGTTATAGCTGCTCGAATGGGCTAACACAGAGACAATTCCCAGCCTGCCCAAAGAGCACCAGGAAGTGTTGGGTACAGCAAAACTAGAACAGAGGCATGAGGGGAAGAGCAACAGGGCTGTGATCAAAGAGGTGTGCCTGGTGGGGAGCATGAGTAGAGCTGTATAATCTGTACAATAATGACCCAGAGTGGAATTAGAAGTCCTTAAAAGTGAATGAGCAGAGTGGCATGATCTCCATGATACTATGTTATATTCTTGCTTGGGTATTGAGAATAGACTGAGGGTGAGGGCCAATGCAGAAGCAGGAAGGGGGATAAAAATTCAGATGAGACATGATTTTGGCTTGGCCTGGGTGGATAACAGCAGTAGTAAAAATTATTTAAATGTTTTGAAGGTGGGTTTGCTGAGAAGTAAAGGATGTGTGGAGAAAACTGGATTGAGAATTGTATAAGGACTGTATTGTATATTGTATGAGATTGTAGATCCAGGATGAGTCACAGTATTTTTGAAGTTGTAGTAAATGGAATGAACTAGAAAGATAGAAGTTAATGTTCGGAAGGCAGGAGACTTAAAAGTTAGATTGTAAAAATTTGCAATTAGGAGTAATAACGTGGTTTGAGCTGAGATCATGAGATTGAATAGCTAGATACTGAAGATAGCAAGTACATTGGAAATGATGAGGTCAAATGTCAAAGAAGATAAGTAATTTAAATGAGACATCAAAATAATGGCAGTTAAGTCAGGTTGTAAAGACTGCAAAGAATGAGGGAAAGTGACTAAACATTGGGAGAGTGATCAATATAATCAAATAGTATGAGATTCCAAGCTGGAGGGGTTTGAGGAGAAGGAAGTAGAAGTATTCTGCAAGAGGACACTTATTTTACTTCTAGAGGCAGTGGTTAGAGCACTGAGGGTGAGAACTAGTCTGCACTTAGGGGGCGACATGAGAAGCAGCAGCATCAGTGAGAGACAGATGACAATAAGAATGAAAATGTAAAGGGAAAATTGAGAAACTTATAAAAATTGAGATTCTTCTATGCACTCTGTACATTTCTTAAAGAAGCTTTCAACACATTTAATTTCATTTAAATCTTGCAATACTCTTGAGAGATATTATCATTCCCTTTTTACCAAAAAAAGGCTGAATGGCCAAGATCACATAAAATCACATAAATAATAGAAGTCAAAAGTATGACTTTAACCCATCTAGTGTTATAAGAACCACATAATCGTCAATAATTTGAGAGTATCTTAATTAATTAAATTAAAAAAATTAATAAAAATTTTTTCAAAAGATGTATTCAAGTTATCAATTTGAAGAAAAATGAACATATTACTTAGAAACAGCCCTGGATTAGAGTCCCAATTATATCACTTAATAATTGTGTGGTTTAGGTAAGCCATGTAAAGTTGCTGTACTACTTAAATTTAAAATAAAGACAATTTTACCCAAACATAAAATTGTTGTAATGTTATTGTGCAGTTATAAATCACTTATTAAATTATAAATTTATGATAAGTATTAAACAGAATACTCAATTTTAAGCCATAAGGTCTTCTATTAGAAAAATATTCAAATATAATGTGATACATCATGCATTTTTATAAAGAAAAATATAAATTTAATTATAGCCCTAATAAAAAATTTTGGAGGTGCATTACCAAGGCCAAATTTATATTTCATAAAATGAACAAATTTAAGATGTGTACCTTAACTTTATGTATTTCTGCACTCATATTCACACCAGCCATATCAAGATAAAGAACAGTTTCACTACCACAGAAAATATTGTGCTGCTTTATTCCAGTCGATAATAACCACTGGTCAAATTTGTCTGGAATCATATAGATTTTATGCTTTTGTGTCTGACCTATTTTACTCAACATGATGTTTTGGAGATTTATCTATGCTGTTTTATGTGTCAATATTTTATTTTGTATTGCTATGTATTATTACTCTGTAAGTCAATATCATAATTTATCTCTTCTCCACTTTATAGTTGTTACATCCAGTTTTTGCCCACAAAAACAACCTGCTGTGAATAATTTTATATAGGTCTCTGTTGTGTGAATACACACCCTCATTTATTTTTGGTATATACCTATAAATTGAATCATGATGTCACTGAGTATGTGTGCAGGTTAACTTTATAAGAAATTGCCAAACTTCTTTAAAATATAGCTGTAAATTTACTCTTCCACCACAAATGTATGAGATTTTCTTTGCTTCATAACCTCTTCAACACTTGCTATATTCAGTACTCAGTTTTTTTTCTTAAGAGATGGGGTCTTGCTCTATCACACAGGCTGGAGTGGAGTGGCACAATCATAGCTCACTGCAGCCTTGGACTCCTGGGCTCAAGCTATCCTCCCATATCGGTCTCCAGGTATTTAGCCATTTTAATTTTACCAGTTCTCTTGGATACGTAATGACATCTCACTGAGGTTTTTATTTTCATTTTTTCTGATGACCAACTATTTCAGCACATTTTCTTATCCTGATTCCCCAATTGGCTGTCTTCTTTTATGAACTGACCGTTCAAGTCTTTTGCCCACTTCTAATTGAGTGATGTATCTTCTGCATAACAATTTGTAGGATTTATTTACTTTCCATAGAAATATTTTGTCAGGTCTATGTATTTCAAATGTGTTATCTAACTGTGACACTTCTATTCATTTTTCATTGAGGTAAAAACATAACTTGTGATCTATCCTCTTAGTAAGATTTTAAATGTACAATATAGCACTGTTAAGCATAGGCGTGATGTTGCACAGAAAATCTTTAGAACTTATGCAACTTACACAACTGAAACTTTATACCTGTTGAACAGCAACCCTTCTTCCTCCTGCCCCTAACCATTCTATTCTCTATTTCTATGAGTTTGACTATTTTAGAAAGCTCATATATGTGAAATCATGCAGAATTTATCCTTCTGTGACTGGCTTATCACGCTTAGCATGATATCCTCCAGGTTCATCCATGTTCTTGCAGATGGCAGAATGTCCTTCCTTCTTAAAGCTGAAAATATTCCATTGTATTTATACACCACATTTTCTTTATTCATTTATGTGCTGATGGACATTTAAGTTTTCAAATTTTGTTGTTTTGTGAGTAATGCTGCAAAGAACATGGGTATGCGGGTAACTCTACCACATCCTGATTTCCATTCTTTTGGACATATGCCCAAGAGTAGGATTGCTGGATCATATATTAGTTCTATTTTTAGTTTTTTTGAGGAACCTACATACTGTAATTCACAGTGGCTGAACCAATTTACATCCCCAGCAAGAGCGTACAAGGGTTCCAGTTTCTCCACATCACTGCCAACACTTGTTACGTCTTGTTTTGTTTCATAATGCCTCTCCTAATGAGTGGTAAGTGATATCATATTTTGGCTTTTATTTGTATCTCTCTGATCATTAGTGATGTTGAACATCTTTTCATATACCTTTTGGCTATTTGTATGTCTTTGAAGAAAATTTATTCAATCTTTTTGCCCCCCTTTTTAAGTTATCTTTTTCTGTTGTTGTAGGAGTTCCTTACATATGTAATGAGGTTTTTTTGAATAAATGAATATAAGTTTAATATAGTAAAGACATTAACACAATTTTTATTTTATGTTTAATACATTTTGTGCTCTAGAAAAAAAATCATTATTTATCTCACCCAAGATCATTATGATGTTCCTCAAAGTATTCTTCTAGAAGCTTTAGCATTCATATTTAGGTCTGTGATCCATCTTACATTGAATTTTGTGCATGATATGAGTGAGATATTAAGATTAATGAAAATGCTAATTATAATAGATTCTCAGGTCCTAGCCAAAGCTTTTGTATATTGGGATCTCTTGAGATCTAGGTTATTTAAAGGTAATAGACGATCAGTATTGATGAATTTGTTTTCTTTTTCTATCTGGTGATTCTCAACCTTTGTTCCATATTAGAATCAAGTGGTTTGCTTGCTTGCTTCTTTTTGTCTTTGCTTTTAGTAGCACTGCCTCAATCCTACCTTCAAAAATTCTAATTTGATAACCTGGACATCAGGATTTTTGGGGAGAAGGGGACAGGGTCTCACTCTGTCACCTGGGCTAGTGTACAGTGGCATGATCACAGCTCATTGCAGCCTCAAACTCCTGGGCTTGAGGGATCCTTCTGCCTCAACCTCTCACGTAGCTTGAATTACAGGTGTGAGCCACCATGCCTGGTGACATTGGGATTTTAATGGGTCTCTGGGTGAGTCTAATATAAAGCCAAGTTTGGGAATCATTGACAAGCTCCAAAAGCCTGGAAAAAATGTATACATGAAGATAGAGATTAGTGTTACTCTCTCCTTGGGTGAAAACCCCTGACAAGTTTTATTGATTTATTGGGAAACAACATTGGAAGCAGTTTCTCCTCTGCCTCTTTAATCCCTTGGCCAACGCAATCTTGAGTTAAGCACAGTCTCACTATTAAGTCTTGTAGGGTGAATACATCTTTACTTCCAGTTTTCATCCACTTTATCTTCATCTCGGAGAATTATTGTGAAAAAAAAAGTTCTCAGTGTATAACTCATATTAAGTAAAAGACATGTAATACATTGTAATAATTCATCAAATATTGCTTGTGGTGTTTTACCTACTTTACACTTGTGGAAAATTTAAGGAAAAATTTTAAATAGTTCTACATTATTTTCATAGAAGAATCACAGTAAAATAAGAACTTTGCAAGTCCACATTTTACTACATTGCATTATTTGAAAAGAAAACTAATTTTGAAGTGTCTGATGATTTCAAAACACAGTTCACTATTATTTAATTAGTGAAAGGAGATGCATGCGAGGATTTGAAATAGAATTTTTAACATTGACTTAGATACTTTCTCTAAATGTATTAGACATAAAAGTAAATGGTATTTATATATTTGTTTGTAAGATGCTATAATTTTAAATTTAAATGTCTATGTAGCTTTTTCTGAAGGAAGCTGTTCTAACATTGTGGAAGCAATTTGGGGACATTTCTCTTACTTGATTGATTCTTTTCTTATCCAGATGCTACCCATTTTCAAGATTGCACAAACTCCACTTCTATAAGGGAACTCAGCCCACAAGGCTCTCATGTACATCAGTAACATCTATATCTTTACTGAATTACATATGCCTTGCCCTATCAAATGAAATTATGTACCACGAAGTCAGGATCATATCTCAACTCTTCTGTAAACTCCACAATGCATAGCATAGTGTTACTCATGGAAAAATCAAATACTTGTGATTGAAATGGGTTAACATTCTTCTCATGTTAAGGAACATACTTCTTTAATTGTACCTGTTGTTATGCCGGGTGTAAGACTTATTCTTTTCTCCAGAGTTGATATCAATAATTTAAAAACATATAGGAATTGGAGATAAATGGGGAAACAAACAATTTATGAAGGTCAAAACTATGAAGTAAATTTCAGTTCATGGTTATTTGGTAGAAATACTAGGTTGGAGAGTATGGTTCACATTTGAGACCAAATTAAATATTATTTAATAGATTTCTTTCACACTTAGTTGAAGGAAAGCATGCAGTAAAAACCTAGCTTGACCAAAAACCTGACTTGCTCTTGGCAAAAATTGTGGTGGAGAGAGAGAGAGATAGAGAATGAATAACCTCTACCCTGTGGGAGGGTCTTTCCATTGCAAATGACGCAAGTAGAGAATCTGATGAATCCGAGCCTAGGAAAGTCAAAAAGGAAGCAGATTGGCATCCAGTCATTGAAGACACTAAACCTGAACACTAAGAAGACATGATTAAATAAATGTCAGGTTCTGAACAATTAAACTGGTTACTTCTGCTACATTGAAGTAAGGAGTGAATACCTTGGAGTCTAACATAGTTTTCCAAATAAAAAGATAACGAGGCGGAAGATGACATTTTGTTTACTAAATTTTCTAGTTCATATTGAATAGTTTAATTAGAACTTGAAAGCCAAGGTCTCAGGGAACCATTTTTAAAGTGCTTTTCAAAGAGCTTATATTAAAATAATTATATGTAAATAACAAATAATTAGATATGAGGCTCACAAATGAAATATTTATGTTCATATAATATGGCTAATGTATGGTAACAATAGTATTAAATCTATAGATCTATGATGGGAGAATTACTAGAAAAACAAGAGTAGGTCTCCCAATCCATGAGCATGGAATGATTTTCCATTTGCTTAGATTATTAGTTTTCAGCATACAATTCTTACACATATTTTGCTAAATGTATTTCCAAGGGTTTATTTGTATAGTATTGTGAATATAATTATTTTCTTAATTTTTTTAAGAGATAGAGTCTCTTTCTCTATCTACCAGGCTGGAGTGTAGTAGCTTGCAATCATAGTTCACTGCAACCTTGAACTCCTGGCTCAAGTGATCTTCCTGCCTCAACGTCCTGAGTACCTAGGACTGAGAGGTGAATGCCACCATGCCTGGCTAATTTAAAAAAAATAAATAAATTCATAGAGAAGAGGATCTGTCTTTGTTGCCCAGGCTGGTTCTAAACTCCTAGCCTCAAGTAAGTCTCCTGACTTGGCCTCCCAAGGCACTGGGATTACAGGCCTGAGCTATTGAGCCCAGCCACTTCCATTTCCTGATGGCTTTATTGATGTATTCTTCATTGTATTGACTATAACTTCCAGTGCAATATTGGATAGAATTAGGGAGAGTAAACTTTATAGACATCTTTGGCACGTCGCCAATTTTGAGGGGCAAATATCCAGTCTTTCACCATTAGCTATGCTGTAAAATGTAGTGTTTTTGGTTGTTGTTGTTGTTGATGTCCTCTATCAGGTTGAAGAATTTCCATTCTATTTTTTTTATTAATTCACATTAGATTCTGTCAAATCCTTTTCCTGCATCATTGAGATAATCATTTCATTTTAGTTCATTTTATAACATAGTATATTACATTACATTTTGTATTTAAAATACAAAAACAGTCTTGCATTTCTGGGATTAATTTCACTTAGTCATGGAGTGCAATCATTTTTATATACGGTTGAATTTAGTTTGATAATATTTTATTGGAGATTTTTGTGTCTATATCTGTGAGGTATATTGATCTGTAATTTAATTTTTATTTTTTTGTTTTTAAAAATTTCTTTTTCTTTCTTTCTTTTTTCATTTTTGCTTTTGAATATAGGCCTTATAACATGAATTGGGAAGTTTCTCTCTTTTTCTATTTTCTGAGTATGTGTATCATTTCTTCATTGAATATGCGAAATAACTTACCAGTGAAGTCATGTGGTCCTGTATATTTCCTTATGAAAGACTTTTAATTGCTAATTTGACATGTTTATTCAGATTTTCTATTCATTTTTATTTCAGCTGTGGTAATTTATATATTTTTAAGACTTTCTACCTTAAATATAAGTTGTATAATTTGTGGTCACAAAGTGTTTCATAGTATTTCCCTTATAATTCATATATTTGGATGAGATGGGGGAGGATTGGTAGTAGTAACCTTTGTTCTTGATTTTGGTAATCAACACATTATTTTTTTTTCTTTCTTTTTTTTTTTTCTTTTTTGAGACAGAGTTTTGCTGCTGTCGCCTAGGCTGGAGTGCAATGGCAGGATGTGGGTTCACTGTAACCTCCGCCTCCTGGGTTCAAGTAATTCTGCCTCAGCCTCCTGAGTAGCTGGGATTACAAGCACCCGCCACCATGCCTGGCTAATTTTTGTATTTTTAGTAGAGATGGGGTTTCACCACGTTGGCCAGGCTAGTCACGAACTCCTGGCCTCAAGTGATCCACCTGCCTCGGCCTCCCAAAGTATTGGGATTACAGGCGTAAGCCACCATGCCCGGCCTTTTTTATTATTCATCATCTAAGTATTTCTCAATTTTGTTTATCTTTTCAAAGATTCAAACTTTGGATCTTTAAATTTCTTTATTGTTTTTTGTTTTATTTTCTATTTGATTGATTTCTGCTCTAATCTGTATTATTTCTTTGTTTTTCTTGCTTTGTGCTCAGTTTAGTCTTCCTTTTCTAATTTCTAAGGTTGGGAGAATGAATTATTAATTTAAGAACTCTCTTTTTAAAATAACCTTTAAATTTTGATATAATTGTAGATTTACTTACAGTTATAAGAAATAATATAGAGAGATTTCTTGTAACCTTATCTCAGTTCTCCCAGTGGTAACATCTTGCAAAAGTATAGTACAATATCATAACCAATATGTGGAGATTGATATAGTCAACATACAGAATATTTCCATTACCATGGAATCCCTCATGTTGTTCTTTCCTAGCCACATCTATTTTCCTCTTTTTCACCTCATCTTTAACCCTTGATAACCATTAATCTTTCCTCCATTCTCATAATTTTGTCACTTCAGTAATGTTCTACAAGGGAAATTCTACATCATATAATCTTTTGTGGTCAGATTTATTTACTCAGCATAATTCTCTGAAAATGTATGGAAGTTGTTGTCTATATCAATAACTTGCTTCTTTTTGTTGCTAAGTAGTGCTTCATTGCATGAATGTAATACATTTTGTTTAAACTTATTCACTCCTTCAAAAATGTCTGGGTCGTTTCCAGTTTGGGGTTATTAAAAATAAAGCTGTTCTGAATATTTGTGTAAAGTTTTTGAATTAACGTGGTTTTTAAAAATTACTCTGCTGTAAATGCCCAGGAGTGAAATCACTGAGTCATAAAGTCATTGCCTGTTAAACTGTTTGTTTGCTTTTTAAAGAAAGTACCAAATTGTTACAGAGAATGGCTTTGTTATTTTACATTCCCATCAACCATGCAGCAGTTATGTAGTTTCTTTGCAGCCTTGCTAGCACTCAATGTTGTCATTATTTTTTATTGTAACTATTCCATTGGGCATATATTGAAATCCCATTGGGGTTCTAATTTTTCATTCCCTAATGGCTAATGATGTTGACATCTTTTCATGCTCTGATTTTCCAAACATATATTCTTTTCAGTGAAATGTATATTCATGTCTTTTGCCCACTTTCTAATTTGACTTTGTTCACTCTTAAGTTTTGAAAGTTCTTTATATATTCTTGCTACTAGTCTTTTTCAGACACATGGCAAGCAAAAGGGGAAGGAAGGAGCACCTTTTTACTGTCAAGTTGAGATGAAGGTCAAGGTTCCCCATTAGGCCTCCTTTGCCACACAAAAAGTAAATACTCTGTGTTTTTAAGATAAAGTAATGGATGCCAAGAAAGACTCAAATTTTATTTATGTACTAATCATAAAAATGAACTATGATTTATAATTCTTCTCTTCCATTTTCATTATACATAAGTTAAGAAAACAAAATACATCATACTCAATAATAAGAAATCTGAGTAGAAACTCACCAGTTCACCTTAGCTATTTTCCCTTTTGGGTTTCTTTTCTTTTACTTTTTTTTCTCTCTCTCCTTTTTCTTTAAAAATTTTGGAGTGTAAACATATACATCATCTTAATTTGAGTCCTTATGTGTTGACGGTGTGCAGGGAAGAATGGGAAAGTAACTGTAAGTGGAGCTCAGAAAGAACTAACAAATTCATGAAAAAGTGACATTATTGCTGGTCTATTTTTTTTTTAATTTTCTGTTTCCTCACACTCTCCCATACTAAATGAATTATTTAGTGTTTTTGTTTTTGTTTTTTGTTTTTTGTTTTGTGATACAGAGTTTTGCTATTGTTGCCCAGGCTGGCACGATCTTGGCTCACCGCAACCTCCGCCTCCCAAGTTCAAGTGATTCTCCTACCTCAGCCTCCCGAGTAGCTGGGATTACAGGCATGCACCACTGCGCCTGGCTAATTTTTTGTGTTTTTAGTAGAGACGGGGTTTCTCCATATATACGGGGTTTCTCCAGATATACAGTTGTCAAATTATTGAAAGCTAAAGACAAACAGACAATTTTGCAAGTAGCTAGGGAAAATCGATTTATTATGTACAAGGGATTCTCAATAAGATTAAGAGCTATTTTCTCATTATAAATGATGGTAGTGAGAAGATAGTGGACAAATATGTTTTAGTCCTGAAAGAAAGACCAAAAACAGTAACAACTGCTTACTGAGAATTCTTTATCTAGCAAAACATTCTATGATAAATGAGTAAAGAATTAAGACATTTACAGAGAAACAAAAGATGACGGAGTTTATAACCTACAGACGTGTCCTATGAAAAATGCTAAAGAGATTCTTTCAGGTTGAAATGAAAAGACACTAGACAATAACCTAAAGATGAATGAAGAAATAAAGGTTTCCTGGAAAAAGTAAGTCCATGGGCAATTATAAAACTTAGCATTATTTTATTTTTAGTTTATAACTCCATTTTTATTTTCTATACATGTTGAAAAAATTTATAAAAATAATTATAAATTTATGTTATTCAGCACAGAATGTATATGAATGTAATTTGTGAAACAACATGAAATGGGTAAGGGGACTGCACAGATATGGAGTGTTTCATGCTATTGAAATTATGTTGGCATTAATTAAAACATAGAGGATTATAAATTTAAGATATTAAACAGAATCCTTATGGCAGTTAGAGACAATATTTTTAAAATGCACACATAAGAAAATGACAGAGGTTTTTAAAACATTTTACTATAAAAATCAACTAATCACAAAAAAACTATTAAGGGAAGAAATGAACAAAAAATTGTAAGCCATATAGAAAACAAAAAGCAAAATGGCAGTAGTAATTCTCATCAATAATTTCTATAAAAGTAAATGAAGTAAACTTTCCAATTGAGAGGCAAAAGTCAGTGTAATGGATTTTAAAAATCACACAACTACATTTTTTTTATAAGAGACTCAATTTAGTTGCAAGCCACAAATAAATTGAAAGTGAAAAACAGAAAAATATATTCCATACAAATGGTAACCAAAAGAGAGGTGGTGTGGCTCTACTAGTATGACATGAATTGACTTTAATTTAACCACTGTTACAATTGGAACAAGGGCATTAAACACTAATAAAAGGATCAATTTATCAAGAAGATATAACAATTATAAATATGCACACACTAAACAACAGGGCCCCCCAAAATATACGAAGCAAATATTGGCAAAATTTAGGGAGAGAATACGTAGTTCTGCAATAATAGTTGGAGACATCAATGGGCCACTTCAAATTCTTGATAGAAAATCTGCAACAAGGAAATAGAGGAATTAAAGTATAGTGTTTATATAAATCAACTATACCTAATAGACATACACAGGACATTCCACCCAACAACAGCAGAATACATGTTCTCTCTGATAGCCCATGTGTTAGGCAACAAAGAATTCTTCAATAAATTTTAAAAACATTAAACTTATACAAAGCATCTTCTCGGAACACAATGGAGTGGAACTTTAAATCAACAACAGGAGAAAAACTGGAAAATATACAAATATATGGCAATTAAACCATGAGTGCCTTTTCAAGCAATGGATCAAAGAAGAGAAATTACAAATATCTGAAGATATGCAATAACAACACAACATACTAAACTTATGATATGAAGCAAAATCAGTGCTCAGATGAAAATTTATAGTTGCAATAGCCTACATTAAAAAATGTACAAAAGATCTCAAATCAATAACATAACTTCAGACTTTTATGAACCAGAAAATAAGAGCAAATTAAACACAAGTAGAAGAGAGGAAATAATAATAATTAAAATGGAAGTAAATAAAATACAGGGCAGGAATTATAGAGAAAGAAATAATAAAACCAAAAGCTGATTCTATTAAAAAATCGGCAAAATTGACAAATTACTCTATACTGATAAAGAAGAAAAGAGATAATAAATAATTGAAATCAGAAATAAAACTGGGGCTATTACTACTGATCTTATAGAAATAAAAATGATTATGAGAATAATATGACCAAATTAAGCCATAAACTAGATAACCTAGATGAAATTGTTGAATTTTCTAGAAACACACAAATTACCTAAGCTCACTCAAGAAGAAATAAAATATATATGTCAACAGAGCAATAATAGGTAAAGAAATACAAGTTGTAGTAAAAAAAAAAAAAAAAAAAAAACCACCCAATCAAGAAAATTATAATACCTACCACATGGTTTTTTATTTTTATTTTTTTTTTGAGACGGAGTCTCGCTCTGTCGCCCAGGCTGAAGTGCAGTGGCGCAATTTCGGCTCACTGCAAGCTCCGCCTCCCGGGTTCAAGCCATTCTCCTGCCTCAGCCTCCCCAGTAGCTGGGACTACAGACGCCCGCCACGTCGCCCGGCTAATTTTTTTTATTTTTAGTACAGACGGGGTTTCACCGTGTTAGCCAGGATGGTCTCGATTTCCTGACCTCGTGATCCGCCCGCCTTGGCCTCCCAACGTGCTGGGATTACAGGCGTGAGCTACCGCGAATACCAGATGGTTTTAATAGTAACTTATAGGATACATTTAGAGACGAACTGGCAAAAATTGCATGGCAAACTTTCCCAAAAACAGAAATGGAGATATTACTGATTAATTCATTCTATGAGGCAAGCATTTCTCCTAGTGTAAGTACAGATGAAGAGACCACAAGTAAAGACAATTACAGGTGAATATTCTTTACACATATAAATGCAAAACTCTTTACCAAATACTAGGAAACCAAATTCCTAAACAGGATTATGCCCTATGACCAAGAAGAATTTATCTTATAAATGTAAGGGTAGTTCAATGTAAGAAAACCAATCAATGTAAAGCAGCACATTGAAATTACCGATGTAATACAGCAAAGAAGAAGAAGAAGAAAAAAAGGAGATCAATTCATTGACACAGAAATAGCATTTGACAAAATTCAACACACCTTCATGGTAAAAGTCACTGAGCATAAAGAAGGGAATTTCCTTAACCTAATAAAGGACATTTTAAAAATACCCGCAGCTAACAACATATTCAATGGCAAAAGACTGAACACTTTTCTTTAACATCAGGAACAAGACAAGGATGTCTGCTTTAATCACTAGTGAACATTGCAACTTCTAGCAGAGCAATTAGCAAGAAAGACAAATAAGAGGCATCCAAACTGGAAAGGAATAAATTATTTCTCTTTTCAGATTACATAATTCTACATATAAAAAAATCTGAAAAAAAATCCATCAGAAAGCTAGTAGAGCTAATAAAAAATTCAGCAAAACTGCATATTACAAGGTCAACACACAAGATTCATTCATGTCTCTATATGCTAGAAATAAATAATCCAAAAACAAAATTAGGAAACAAATTCCATTTATGATAGTATCTAAAAGAACAAAACACCTAAGAATAAATTTAATGAAAAATGTGAACACTTGTACACTGAAAAGAGCAAAGCATCACCAAAAGAAATTAAAGAAGTCCTAAACAAATTGAAAGCAACCCTATGTTGATGGATTTGAAGACAAATTAATAGTGCTAAAATAGCAGAACTACCAAAGCTGTCTAAAGATTCAATACAATATTTAGTAAAATTCCAATAGTCATTTTACTGAAACAGAAATACCAATTCTCAAATTCCAGAATTGTACATGGAAATCCTAAAAAACAAAGATAAAGTTGGAGGACTCAAACTCTACCATTTCAAAACTTATCAAAAACCTACAGTAATTAAAACAGCATGGAAATGGCATAGGATAGGTGTATAGATAAATGGAATAGAATTGAATCCAGACATAAACCATATATTTATGGAAAATTTATTTTTAACAAGCCTGCCAAGTCAAGAAAAATATTCAACAAATGATGTTAGGACAACTGAATTTCCAAAGACAAATTAAGGTTAGGCTTCATCCCATATACAAAAATTAACTCACACCATATGTAAAAAATTTACTCATACTATATACAAAAATATATTCAAAATGAATCGATGACTCAAATATGAGAGCCAAAACCGTGATACTCTTAGGGATAAATATGAACTGGGATTTGGCAATGGATTTTTAAATATGACACCAAAAATACCACAGCAACAAAAAACTAGATAAGTTGAACTTTATCAAAATTAAAAACATCGGTTCATTAAAGGACATTATGAAGAAAGTGAGAGATAGCTTACAGAATGGAAAAAATTTGCAAATCATATATCTCATAAGGATTTAATATCCAAAATATATAAAGAATCTTTAAAACTCAATAACAGAAGACAAAGAAGCTATTTTTTAAATTTCCATAGTTTATTGGGGAACAGGTGGTGTTTGGTTACATGAGTAAGTTCTTTAGTGGTGATTTGTGAGATTTGGTGCACTCATCCTTGATCATTAGTGATGTTGAGCATTTTTTCATATGTTTGTTGGCCATTTGTATATCTTCTTTTGAGAATTGTCTATTCATGTCCTTAGTCCACTTTTTGATGGGATTGTTTGTTTTTTCCTTGTTGATTTGTTTGAGTTCATTGTAGATTCTGGATATTAGTCCTTTCTCAGATGTATAGAGTGTGAATATTTTTTCCCACTCTTCAGGTGTCTATTTACTCTGCTGACTGTTCCTTTTGCAGTGCAAAAGCTCTGGTATAAAAATAGGCACATAAACCAATGGAACAGAATAGAAAACCCAGAAATAAATCCAAATACTTAGAGCCAATTGATCTTCAACAAAGTAAACAAAAACATAAAGTGGGGAAAGGACACCCTTTTCAACAAATGATGCTGGGATAATTGGCTAGCCACATGTAGGAGAATGAAACTGGATGCTCATCTCTCACCTTATACAAAAATCAGCTCAAGATGGATTAAAGATTTAAATCTAAGACCTGAGACCATAAAAATTCTAGACGATAACATTGGAAAAACCCTTCTAGACATTGGCTTAAGCAAGGATTTCATGACCAAGAACCTAAAAGCAAATGCAATATAAAGATAAATTATTAAGAATTAATTAAACTAAAGAACCTATTTTAAAAATGGGCAAAGAACTGGTATATACATTTTCAAAGAAAATGTACAAATAGCCAACAAGTACATAAAAAGAGAGTTAACATCATTAGTCATTCAGGAAATAAAAATCAAAATCACAGTGAGATATTATTACACTACTTCGCAACGATATTTTTTTTGAGACAGAGTCTCACTCTGTCAACCAGGTTGGAGTGCAGTGGCACAGTCTCACCTCACTGCAGCCTCCTCCTCCCAGGTTCAAGCAATTCTCCTGCCTCAGCCTCCGGACTAGCTGGGGCTACAGGCACATACCACAACGCCCGGCTAATTTTTTTTTTTTTTTTTTTTTTTTTTTCAGATTTTTAGTAGAGACAGGGTTTCATTGTGTTGGCCAGGCTGGTCTCGAACTTCTGACCTCAGGTGATCAGCCCACCTCAGCCTTCCAAAGTACTGCTATTACAGGTATGAGCCAGCACTCATGGCCTTCTTCGCAACTATTAGGATGACTGTAATAAAAAATAAATACATAAATACATTAAAATATATATATATATAGAGAGAGAGAGAGAGAGAGTAGGGGGAGGAAAAAGGGTTAGCCAAGATGTGGATAAAGTTAAAGACACTTACATTGGTGGTGGAAATATCAAATTGTGCACTTACTGTGGAAATCAATTTGGAGGTTAATCAAAAAGCTAAACATAGAATAATTCCACTTCTAGGTATATACCCGAAATAATTTAAGCGTGACTCAAACAGATACTTGTACACCAGTGTTTTTTTTTTGCAGCATTTTTTACAATAGTCAAAAGGTAGAAAAACCCTAACAGATGAATCTTTAATCAATGAATAGATGAACAAAATGTTGTACATAAATACAAAGGATTATTATTCAGCCATAAAAAAGAATGATGTTTTGATACACACTACAGCATAATGAACCTTAAAAACATTTTCTAAGTGAAATAAGCCAGACTCAAAAGGACAAATATTGTATGATTCCAAACATATGAAATATCTAGAATGGGAAAATTCATAGAGATAGAAAACATGTTAGTGATTACTAGGATGTGAGGGGAGAGTTAAAAGGTGTTACCGTTTTATGAGTATAGTTTTTGTTTGGAGTGATGAGCTAATTTTAGAAATAGATAGTTCTGATGTTTATACATTTTGCATGTAATTACTACCATAGAATTATACACTTAAAATTTTTTAATGATGTATGTATATCATATTAAAATTTTAAAAAGCAAACAAATAAGAGGTGCCTAAGCTTGACTCATGTTCATTAATTTATTGACCCCTTGATTATGGCAGTGGTTAATATATTTTGGAATCTAAAATTCACTTAAAAGACGTGTTAAAAGACAGATTGCTGTTTCCTTAGTTTCTGATTCATTCATGCTGGAATGGTACCCAAGAATTTGCATTTCTAATACATTTGTGTATGATGTGGATGCTGTTGGTCTGTTGATCACACTTGAAAAACTTCTAGACTACATTATGCCTAAAACAGTTCCTCTGTCTCATCAATGCAGTTGTTTAATTGATTTGTTTTTTTTTTCTCCAAGTAAAGGGATTAAGTTATTCTAACCTAATAACGTGCTAATATAGTTTGGCTTAGTCAGGCAAAATCAATCATACTTATGAAATCATTATCATCTGAAAAGAAATAGAGAGAGACAAAGTTGGGAAGAGATTAAAAGTGAGAGCTGATGTAGGATTGCCTGGATGGAACTAAAATCCCAGTTCCATCACCTTTCTCCTCTGTAACATTGGAACAGGTAATGAACTTCCCTGAGATTTAGATTCCCTTGCCTGTAAAGGAGAATAAATAACAAAAATTCCTCATAGAGTATTTTGAGGATTACATGGGATACTGCTTATAAAGTTGCTAGCAAAATATCTGGTGCATAACAAGTCCTCATAAACAGTTACAAATGAAAAAGAGATGCACAGGGAATAACATTCATGATAAATCAATCTGAAAATGTTAATGTAAAAAATTCTAGAACTCTCAGGATATCTTCACGAAGTCAGTGTATTAAAATAAATATGGCATAAACCCTCCAATCTGAGCCTTATAAAAAGAGGAGATTTGCTTATTGTGAAAAAGGGAAAGAGTGGAGAGTCTATGAGGTAATTATTAATAATATTAGTTTTATTAAATATTAGCACATTTTATTAAGTGTGTACAGCAACCTCAAGCTGGTGTTATTAACTGAACTTGGGAGAACATTTGAGCTCATGAACTATTCACGTTGTTCTAAATCTGAGCTAAGTAAAAAAGTGATAAAGGAGAGAGTGCAGAACCTAGTTAAAATGTGTTTTCCATATATATAAAAATATATATGATATATAAATATATATCATATAAATATATATGATATATAAAGATACAATATATAATTATATATAATATATTATATATTATATGTAATATATTATATAATATATTACATATAATATAAATATATTATATTATATATATATTTATAATATATATAAATATATAAATATATAAATATATAATATATATAATATATATAAAATATAAATATATAATATATAATATATAATTATATATAAATATATATAAATATATATATAATATATAATATATATTATAATATATTAATATAATATATAATATATATTATAATATATTAATATAATATATAATATATATTATAATATATTAATATAATATATAAATGTATAATATATAATTATATATAATATATAAATGTATAATATGTAATTATATATAATATATAAATATATAATATGTAATTATATATAATATATAAATATATAATATGTAATTATATATAATATATAAATATATAATATGTAATTATATATTATATAAATATATAATATATAATTATATAATATATAAATATATTATATATAAATATATAATATATAATTATATATAATATATAAATATATACTATATATAATATATAATTATATATAATATATAAATATATACTATATATAATATACTATATATACATATATAAAATATATATAATATATATTATATATAAGTATATTATATATGTATATATAATATATAAATATATATAATATATAGATATATATAAATATATATAATGTTAAATATATATAAATATAAAATATATAAAAATATAGATGTATTATATAATATATAAATTATATTATATATTATACATAATTTATGAATTATATATAATATATAATACATAAATTATATATTATATATTATATAATACATAAATTATATATCATATATAATACATAAATTATATATATTATATATAATACATAAATTATATATATTATATATAATATATTATATATAATATATATATAAAAATGTAGCTAACAGTTCCAACCATGTTCAAATAAGGCAAAGGCCCAGCTGCAACTAATCCAGTTGTTTCTGTACCTCACTTTTCCTTTTGCTGTCCATTAATCTTCTTCCACCACGTGGCTGCGCTACAGTCTCTCTAAATCTGCTGTAATTCTGGGCGCTGCCTGATTCTCCCATCGTTCATTGCTCAAACTACTTTAAATTTTATATATATATATTTTACACCAAGAATAGGCTGAGTTAAATATACATCTTGCTGTTTGCAGTGACCATTCTGGCTTATCATTACAGATGTCTTGTTTTCTCCTATAGAAGTAACACACTTTACTACTTTTGAAGACAGATTGTTACACTGATTCTATGATTGTCATTAAGAGAAAAATTTCAACCAAATTAAATTTAAAGTAGTATGAGCAATGAATGATGGGAGAATCAGGTAGCGCCCAGAATTACAGCAGATTTAGAGAGACTGTAGCGCAGCCACGTGGTGGAAGAAGATTTATGGACAGCAAAAGGAAAGTGAGGTACAGAAACAACTGGATTAGTTGCAGCTGGGCCTTTGCCTTATTTGAACATGGTTGGAACTGTTAGCTACATTTGGCCAAAACTCAGTGATTGGTACAGGTGTGGGCTACAGTTGGTTTACAACTCCACTTGTTATAGTTCACGATGTACAGAAAAACCTTTAGGTTGAACTTTAATATGTAAGGAGGCAGCTTTAGGCTAAACTTGATTTAACAATTTCCCTCTTTGGGTCATTTTCTCAATCTTGAGATATTGACCAAAACTTTAGTTACTGATGTTACTATTACCATGGCTCTTGAAACTTACTGGGAAAGAGCAGAACAGTGAGTTTGGCAAAGATGTGAACAAGGACTGAGTAGAGGGTGTATCCATATGCTGGAACATTCTGTTTACAGAAGAAAAACAAAACCTGGTCTGTTGTAGAACCTATGTGTTTGTATGTTTTCCATGATCAAACGTAGTTTGATTATGTTACATTTAGCACAAGCAACCCGAGTTTTGTTTGGTTTGGTCTATTGGGGCCTAGCTCAGTCCAAAACAATGGCCTCCCATAATTTCGTTTAAAAGAATCCCCCTTTTTTTTAGGTCATGTTCTCACTTAGGTGAGAGTGTGAACAAACTTAGGGCCTTAGCACCACTCTCAGTTACCATCATTTTGGGTTTCTGGTCTCAGCATGTCATTCATAAGTCACGGTGTCCTCATGGCTGCATATTTCTTTCAGCTCTTGTCATTCCAGTTAAAGAGAGACCATTTGACATTCTAGAGATGGCTGCATGCAAACACTTAAAACTTTTAAGAGAATATAGCACACCAGAAAGACTATTATTATGACTATCAGTAGGATAATACCAAGAGTTTGGAGTATGCTCCTTACCCGGGGTCCACATAAACCAAACCACCTAAAATTAAATAGATCAAAGAATGAGCTATATGAAGAGTCTACTCACTTAACTAAGGAGTATCTTCATTAATCCCCTACAACTAAATCTCTATAATACGTGACGTTTTCTCCATAGGCCATAAGTGCCAACATCTGTACAGAGACTTCTGTTTAGCCAGTAACTAATCCAGATCAATTGTATTATTTAGCATAACTTTCACAAGAGAATTTAAAGTTTGTGTGTAACCATAGCCTTTACAGTAGAATCTGCTTTAGAGCCTATCATGAGGGATACATTTTTAATCATTGACATTTTTATTCCAAACTATGGAATAAGGACCTAACAAATGATGCCCTTTTAGAAGAGTGAAATCCTCCCAGCAATGTTCTCCTTAGCCCATGATGTGGACTAAAAGGAGTAAATCAATGTTCTGTTTCTGACTGATTATGAGGCAATGTACGTACCATTAAAGTTTCTCATCTACATTGGGCCTTCATTTTTGTCTATTAAGGTGTAAGGTTATCCATGTATAAGGCTGGCTGCAAAATCCTTCACAAATAAAAGTATACCCCATAAGTGCACACAAGAGAACCCTTTCACCTCTATTATTCATAGAAGCATAAGCAAGGGACAAATAATCAAAGATAAGAGTCTCATGATAGTAGAGAACTCTTGATCCGTGATCTTGGGAAAACCTGTTCACATCAAGGATGCCATCTTCTTCTGGGGAGAAACCTCCCTGGTTAGCTTTTCTTTAAGGCTTCTAATGGGTGTACAGTTCCAAGAGTGTAAAGGGAGCCTTTTCAGTTGTGAGATTATGAACCCAAGGTTCAAGGTCCTGAAGTTTTGCTGTAGTGTGGATGCCAATGACAGTCTTTCTTTGATGTTCTCAGAAGATCAGTCTTCAGGTTCTAGTTTATGAAGGGATTGACTGTCCTCAGCGAACCATAAAAACCTTACCTTACCTGGTAAAAATACACTGTAGTCTAATAATCTACTGCTATAATGATGGCAGCGGCACCCCATCTGGAGCAGCCACTGCTGTCACATCAGCTACAGCGGTGAAACATGGCAAGGAGCTGGGGACAAGTGGGAAACATGCCCCTCCTGAGTTGGTGGAGCTGGAGCTTCCTGGGAACAGGTGCAGCAGCCCAAGTAGTGGCTGCAGACCTGGGCCTCCCATTCCATGGAGCAGGCAGGAGACCTGTCCTTCAAGGTGCAACTACAGATGCCCAAGCCATGGCTGCAGAGTCAGGCATCTCTACACTCTTGGGGGCACAGGAAAAAAACCCAGGCCCTTACAGACTTGGAGGTATCTTCTGCTCCCGTTGCCTGGCTCCTCACCACTCTTGACACCTGCTCTGATCTTGGAGCAAGGTTGTGGGTAGGCCCAGGTGCTGTTGCAGCCTGGTAGGTGTGCGCATGCTTGAGGCAGTGCTGATACACCAGTACCATCCTGCCTCTGGCCTCTGCCCAGGCTTTGGGCACTGACAAGCATGGGAGGGAAGCTGAGGAGATGCTGAGGGCAGCTTGACACTGGCCTGCAGGCATCCTTTGGCACAAATAGCCTGGGTGCCATGAATGGCAGCAGGAGGCAGACGGGCTCCTGCACAGAAGGGGGTGGGTCCTTGGTGAGGCCCTACCTTCAGGCCAGGATGGGTGTGAAGGCTGGGGTCTGGGCTGCCAGTCCCGTGAACCAGAGTGTAAACTTGTGATGCCTTTTCTGGGGCCACCCATGGCCTCTCATGGACCAATCAGTGTGCATTTCTTCCTTTCTGAGACCCATAAAAGCCCCAGGCTCAGCCAGAACTGAGCAGACATTGGGACGACCAGCTGCAGAGAGGAGCTACCAACTCCAGGGCCTCATCTCTTCTGAGAGATGCAGATGTTGGGATGCCCAGCTGCAGAATGGAGGTGCCCACTCCAGGACATCCTCTGAGTTGTTCTGTCACTCAATATAGCTCCTCTTTGCTCACCCTCAACTTGTCTGTATACCTCATTATTCCTGGAGGTAAGACAAGAACTTGGGACCTGCCAAATGACAGGGTTAAAAATGCTGTAACACAAACAAGGGTGAAACACACCCCTTGCTCACCATGTTGTGGATGACAAGAAGAGAGAAGAAAAAAAGAGCTGTGGCTCTATGGGAACCCAGACCTGGGAGCTCCCGAGGCCAGAGCTGTGACTCCCGCTATGGGACCCTATGGTTCCTGGAGTCTGCAAGCTTCCAGGTACAACTGTGTTCCCTTGTAACAGCTGTGGAAGCTGCTTGTGGAAGCTGGTCTAGCCAAAGCCTTATAGTGAGCTAGCACTCACGCTGGCACCTGGAGCTTCCTGTCCCAGCTGCAGCAGCTGGTGTGCCTGTGTTAAAACATAGTGAACAATATGAACTTCCACTCACCAAGCCTGACTTGATTCCTCAGTCTACTAGTAGCAGAGGACAACATTGAGCCCCTGATATGGTGACATTCCCTGGAGTAATTGGCTGGCTGCCTGGGGGCAGGCTGATTACATGGGATGAATTTCATCATGGAAGTAGCAGCATTTTGTTCTTATAGGAATAGACACTTACTTTGAATATGGATTGCCTTCCCTGCATGCAGTGCTTCTTCCCAAACTACCATAAGAGACTTACGAATGTCTTATACACTATCACAGTGTACCACACACCATTGCGTGTAATCAAATAAGTCACTTCCTAGCAATAGATGTCAGCAATGGGCCCATGCTTATGATCCAATAGTCTTACCATATTGCCCATGACCCTGAAGCAATTGGATTGATAGAATGGTGGAATAGCGTATTAAAAACTCTGCTGCAGCACCAGCTAGGTGGCAATATCTTGCAGAACTGGGAAAAAATCTCCAGAAGGCTGCATATGCTCTGAATCAGCATTCAATATATGGTGCTGTTTTTACCATAGTAGAATTCATGGCTCCAGGAATGAAGGAGTGTAAATGAGAGTGACAGAGTTCACTATTACCTACCTGTAGTGACTCAGTAGCAAGACGGTTGCTTCCTGTTTTCATGACTTTATCATATAATATGAGATGTACTGACTTTGTTTCCTAGTATTTAAGTAATGCTAATTTTACATCATAGTATTTAAGTTAGGAGATAACAAGAAGAGTAAACATTACTCAAGGACTTTGCTTCCTCTTTCTGGGAAGGGATTAGTGCAACTTTTGGTTGTATACAGAGTAGTTGTATCCTGTCAGGCAGAATTATGACCTTGCTATTTTCTTTAATTGACAATTAAGTATGGTTTTAGGAGATACATGGCTGCCACGTTGACAGGGGATGAACTTATAATAGCTAATTTTATGTGTTGATTTGACTAGGCTATGAGTACCCAGATATGCTGACAAATGTTATTAAGTGTATCTGCAAGGATGTTCTAGATGAGATTGATATTTAAATTCATAGAGTGAATAAAGCAGATTGTTCTCTCTAAAGTAGGTAGGCCTTATCCGGTCAATTGAAGACCTGAATAGCACAAAAATGTTGATTAAGGGAGGACTCCTCTTGCCTGGCTACCTGAGCTGGGCCATTGGTCTTTTCTTGCTTTTAAATTCAAATGGAAACATGGATTTTCTCAGGTACTGAGCTTGCCAGCTTTTGGACTGAAGCTTACACTATCAGGTCTCCTGGTTCTCATGCCTTTGGACTCAAACTAGAACTAAACTTCAGCTTTTCTGTGTCTCCAGCTTGCCAACTGCAGATATTGAGACTTATCAGCCTCCATAATGTGAGCCAATTTCTTGTAATCTCTCTCTCTCTCTCTCTCTCTCTCTCTCTCTATCTTTCAATATTGAGAGCAGTATATACAGCTAAGATAGTCATGGAATGGACATGATGACTCTATTAGTCAACGTTATCTAGAGGCACATATGATGAGAGAGAAATGATAAGAAATTGGCTCACACCATCCTTATAGAGGCTGAGAAGTCTCAATATCTGCAGTTGGCAAGCTGGAGACACAGGAGAGATGAAATGTAGTTCCAGTTTTAGTCCAAAGGCATGAGAACCAGGAGAGCTGGTAGAGTAAGATTCAGTCCAAAAGCTGGCAGGCTCGATACGCAAGAAAAGACAATGTTTCTATTTGAAACATTGAAAAGGAGTCCTCTCTTAATCAACTTTATTTGTGCTATTCACCTCTTCAATTGATTGGATAAGGGCTACCTACACTAGAGAACAATCTGCTTTCCTCACTCCATGAATTTAAATATTAATCTTATCTAGAACATCCTTGCAGATACACTTAATAACATTTGTCAGCATATCTGGGTACTCATAGCCTAGTCAAATCAACACATAAAATTAGCTATTACAAGTTCATCCCCTGTCAACGTGGCAGCCATGTATCTCCTAAAACCATACTTAATTGTCAATTAAAGAAAATAGCAAGGTCATAGTTCTGCCTGATGTGATACAACTATCCTGTGGCAACCAAAAATGCACTAACCCCTTCCCTAAAAGAGGAAGCAAAGTCCTTGAGTGGATGAGGGCTGCCTACTTTGAATATACATGGATGTGTATATATACATATTTTTTCTGTTCCTCTAGATACCTTGACTAACACAGTCATCATGTCCATTCCCTGACTATCTTAGCTGAAACAGAGACTACCAGTCAATACTCATATTGCCCCCGATTTGTTTGTTCAATGTACTTGCTAAAATCCAAAAAATATGAATTTACTTAATATTTGTCTACAGCAAATATAATGCAATCACTATGGGAGTAAGTACTTTGTATCTCTTTTTACATCACAGAATAGATTGCATAACATAAAAGTGATGTTCAATAATTACTTGTTAACCTAGTTTTGATTAAAACATTCTGTAGAGTTCAAAAGGTTCTATTTTTGCATATATGTTCCCTTTGTTTTTATGAATAAATAAATAATATTAACTTAAAAATAATGGATGTAATGGCTTTGAAAATTCTGAGATTCACCAGATGGCAAATAATGCTGAAATCAATAAATGGCTTTCAAGCAAAGATAGAATCCAGGGCACTGCCAGGAAAGTATGGTCCAAAATTGTAGCCAAAAAGATAACTGTAAAATTTTCCATATGTTGCAGAAAGATCAAAGGTTGTGCTTTGGAATGCCATTTAGCTAGACAAACGGTCCTCTAAAATATAAAGTATATGATATACAGATAACTCAATCGAACAATAGAACCTGCAGGAAGCTCGCAGCATTGCTCTACAGCCTCCTCAACAAAAGTTCAAGAACGAGAAGAGCATATTTCTGAAAAGGTTACTGAGTTACCCTTTGTGTATGAGTGAATCTCAGTAAGATTCACAGTAAATCTACAAAAATTTGAAGGTAAATTACATATGTAAAAATATTGATAATTTAAACTGAATAATCCAGAGTTATTTTAAAGTGGGCTACCCAAATTTCTTTAAGCAGATAGCAGGCTGAGTAAAGTACTCGACTTAAATATGTTCTAACTTTTATGAAAAAGGAGGGCTATTTTGAAGGATAGAACTGAGGCCAGACAGTGGAATCAAGAAATAGCCATTAATGGGTAGGAGTAGGATTAAATCCTCATCAAAAAAAAAAAAAGAAAAAATTAACATTTTCCCAGCTAGATTTCAGAACTCTCATTGACTGCTGACTTCTGTATGTCTCCTTTTTTCTTCTATTAAGTCAGAGTGCCTATGATGATTATTCTATGCCTGTCTCATCATTTTATGATGGATGTGTGAAAGATAGGTAAGTTGTTTCTTTAGTTTCAAAGGACTTCAAATCAAGACAAACTGTACTCAAGGAGTTGTATTTGCAGCGAGACCTGATTTAAACGACAAGATTCTAGACTTCAAACTAATGCTGTGATGAGATGAAGCTTTGGTAGACTTAGGATACAATTAGTGAGGTGTGTGCATTACTTGGAGCCAGAGAGCAGTCTACAGTAACTGGCCTCTAAGAAGGACCCCAATGAACATTACCTCCTGGTATTCATGCACTGGTGTAGTTTCCCCTCTCAGTGTACCACGGTTCATCTATATGACCAGTAGAATATGCCAGTAGTGATGGTATGTCATTTCTAAGATGACACTTTTTCGCACTCAAGGGTTAGCCTTCTGGGAAACATAGGGTTTGGGATTTGAAAATTTAGAAACTGAAGCAACTTTTATTCTGGTAGTTACAAGCTCTCATTACTGCTTCTCTCTATATATTTCTAATAATAATTAATTTAATTAAATATCTTCTTATTCTCACCATACAATTTTTTCATATTTTACTATTGGTAATGATTTTAACTACTACAGAAGTGGTCTATATCTATCTGCCTATTTATCTACATCTCTACAAGTGCATAAATGTGTGTGTGGTGTGTGTGGGGGAGTGTATGTATATGTGTGCTTATAAGTTCATGGATGAATTACAAAGCTTTCATATGTGCATTTCAGTTTACTCAAGAGTTAGCAAATTTATTTTTGGACATTTTCACCCCTCTATTACTATGAAAAGATCCACATTTCCATTTTCATGTAATCTCTTTCTTTCTTCCTCTCTGTCACACACGGACACACACATACACACACACACACACCCCACACTCTAAACAATTCATTTGTGTAGATTTGTATATTGCCCTCTTCTTGGTTTTGAGTCTCTAAATTATTTACTTAAATATTAAGTTAGTTAATTTAATTGTATTCCCCCTCTATAATTTCCATATACAGTTTACCTTTGAACAATATAGGTTTGAACTGCATGGGTTCACAGATACATAGATTTTCTTCTGCCTCTGCCATCCCTGAGACAGCAAGATCAATCCCTCCTCTTCTTGTGCCTCAGCCTACTCAACATGAAGATGATGAGGATGAAGACCTTTATGATGATCCATTTCCGCTCAGTGAATAGTGAAGATCCTATAATTCTCTTAATAACATTTTCTCTCACTTACTTTATTGTGAGAATGCAGTGTATAATACATATAACATGCATGACATATGTTAATTAATTGTTTATGTTATTGGAAAGGCTTCTGATCAACGGTAGGCTATTATTATATTACCAGCAGTTAAAGTCAAAAGTGATACAGTGATTTTTGACTTCATAGAGGTCAGCACCCTAACCACTGTGTTGTTCAAGGGTTAACTGAAAACGCACTGGATTGCATGAGTATAAGATAATAATGAGACCTTATTACTTTCCAGTTGAGGTAGGGGAATTTAAATTCTACATAATATCTGCTATCAATAGATTTGCCCAGTAAATTTTATATCAAATAAGTTCTAAGTCTTATTTCACATTTTTATCTCAGTTTCTAAATGTGTCATTATTACATTGGATTTAGGAGCAAAATCCATTATAATCTGTTCTAACAAGAAGATTGTTTTTTGGTAGTCTCTTAAACTTCATATTGGGAGAAGATTATGCTCCTTGAGGATAAGATTCATACTGTAACAATTTTCTATATCCTCCATAATGTTTTGCAGATTCAATAACTATTTAATGAATTGAGTTAAATTTGCCTATACTCTTACAAGTCATACTCTCATAAATAACCTTCTAATCCTCAATTCCTCCAAAACATAGAAAAAAATGCCAATATAAAAAAGCAAGAAAGAAGGTATTAACCATTTGTCCTTCAAAATATGACTCATTCTTTTTTTTTTTTGAGATGGAGTCTTGCTCAGTCACCCAGGCTAGAGTGCAGTGCACAATCTCAGCTCACTGCAACCTCCACCTCCCGGGTTCACGCCATTCTCCCGCCTCAGCCTCCCGAGTAGCTGGGACTACAGATGTCCTCCACGATGCCCGACTAATTTTTTTTTTTTTTTTGTATTTTTAATAGAGACGGGGTTTCACCATGTTAGCCAGGATGGTCTCGATCTCCTGACTTCGAGATCCACCCACCTCGGCCTCCCAAAGTGCTGGGATTACAGGCATGAGCCACCACACCCGGCGACTCATTCTTATACAACTACCTTTGTCAGCATTCTTGCCATTGGACTGTCTAGCCCTTGATGCTGTTATATCATGGCTTGTTGATACAGAAGGTAAAGTTTGGAAAAAAGAGGCAGTTATGTAAAACAATCTTAGAAAATCCTTGAGTTCCCCTTAGAATCTTGTGTCTTCTACATGTTTTTTATTTCACATATTAAGTTTGCAGAGTTATGTCATAATTTCATGAGTGTATCTGTCAGAGAGCCCCTTGAAGTCCTATTTAATCCAACTAAGACTATTTTTTCTTGTTTTAATACCATTCAACTTGTTCTCTCTTTGATAACTAAGGGAAAAGAGAAAGACATTCCATATAATATATCAGATGCCTAAGTGCTTTGGATAGTCATAAGCCTTTTCTCCTACAGCTTCCTAATTAGAAATGCCCGCTCTTCAGAGTTAAGTTTTCCAACTTGCTCCTTCCATTTTATAATAGTCTATTTAGGAAGACTATTATCAAATAAAAATTAGAATGATAAGTGGACACCTATTTTAGCCTTGGGATTTATATCACAATTCCCTAAGACTTTATATTTCCAGAAAAGAAATTCAAACTAAAGGTTACAATTACTATTATTATGGTAATCCTGATAAGATGTGCATTTTAACTAAAAGAAGTTCCCACTATTTTTTTCTTTTTACTTTTCAATAATCCTTGAGACCTTAGTAGAAGTGTGCAATAGTCTTGTGGTGTATTTTTAGTTTAAAAGTCTATCTAATTACCACTTGGTAGATATTGTTCAAACTCACTTTTGAATCCAAGTGTTTTTACCCTCATAGAATTTTTTTAAAGGAGTATTTGCTTGTTTCTATTATACTATAACTATTGGAGCTACTAGGAGGCCTTTTAAATTTCAACAACAAATAGGCAGAATGAAGACTAACTGAAGGGTTGATGGGCTTAAAGAATAAATAACCTAACAAAGGCTAATGGCAAAATCAACATTAGGAACCAAGTCACTTTACTTGGGATTAGTGGATACCAAAATGTGCTTTCTCTGAAGCAGCACTTTACAAGGAAACATGAAAATCCACCTTTGTTGTCCTTCAGCTAAAGGGAATAAAATCGTATACTTTCTGTAATTTTAACCTTGTTATAACAGATGCTACATGAACTCAAGTGGAACTCTGACTGCCTTGAGAGCATCCCACCATCCATTGCTGCTGCATCAAGGTATTAAAAAGAGAGACAGAAGGAAGAGGTGAGAGAAGCACAAGTTTAACAGTGTGAGGGCATTTTGCTTAATAATAAGACATTTCATTAAAATATTAGCTACTTTTGTTAGCTAGCAACTCTTAATTTTGCCTAAAGCTGACCCCATATCTAGGGTTAGGTTTTGAAAGAAATTCATCACCATCAGAAGTAGGTCTGGAAGTTATAAAGGAAAGCTTAAAAAAAAAACAGATATGTGCAACGCCTATTTACAAAGAATCCATTGGGAAACCCCCATTGAGCCCAGGTAGATGGCACATGTCCCCTTTGGTTGATGATATCCACTCTCTCATTTCCTATAAAGCTCCCTGATTGACATGGTGGGGCTCTGTCCTCAGAGCAGCCCTTGTTTCCCCAGTTGCTTCTTGACCATCTTGCATAATGTCTATTTTGTGACAGGCACTTGCTGTAGGATTGGGACCTAGAGTGCCCTGAGGCAGGATTCTGACCCTCAAAATGGGACCTTTTTTGGTGATTGATCCTGTCCAGATGAGACTTCTCTTGGTTTGAGATCTTCCACTGAGAGGCCGTTTCACCAACCAGGCTCTGAAATTTCTGCTCAGCCTGAGTCTGGAGGGATTCAGCTCCTACTCCCCCTCCTGGAGGCTGCCCAGATGCCCCCCAGCTCTGTGCCCCTACCCAGCCATCAGAGTCCCTTCCAGCCTTTGTCCAGGCTGGCCTGTCCTCCAGGACACTTGGCAGCTGGGACCCCACAGGACTCTCCCTCTGCTCTGCTCCATCCTCGAATCCTAATGTCCCGGCTCTTGCCGTCCAACACTGTGTCTGCCCTTGCTATCCCAGCCGCAGTCCCTTAACTCTTCCCTTCCTCCAAGATGCAGTGAGAGATGCCCAGTTGGAAGGAAACTTTTATGGTCATGTCCTTCTCCAACTTTCCTCTTTCTATCATTTTTGTCTCTTTTAAACCTCTCCTGTTGGCGCTGAATTGGCATAGGATGCCACAGTCAAGGCTTGTACCTGTCGCTAGCGTGCACATGCCACTTCTATTCTTCACTTTGGCAAAGACCACACTTTAGTTTGCTGATGGCCAAGTAGATACAGGAAGTTCCCAGTTGCTTGGGCCAGAAAGAAAGAGAGGCCCCAGGTGGACCTGATGACCCCCCTAAACCCCTACCTGGACCTCACCAGGATCCAGTCAAGAGGCCAGTCTCTTGGCCCAGGCCCCCACCTCTTTCCTCCAGAAATGACTTACTAGGGCTTCTTCAGAGCCTGGAGTTAGTGACAGGGAAGCTGGCTCTCCAGCCTAGGCCTCTGGCAGGTGCCTCAGCGATGTCCAATCCAATCAGTGTGATGACCAGGGACAGCACTGGATTGGCCTTCAACCCCAGATTAATAATCAACCATCCTTAGAACTACTGTGTCCTGGGCAGCTCTCCAGGGCTGCTGGCAGGGTCTCCAGCACAGCACTGGGTGGCTCTCTACATTAGTGCCCTAACCCCCTCCTCTACTACCCCCTCTCAGGCATCCATCTCTATGACTCAGCGCCTCTGAGCTTCCAGAGTCACAGGTTCCCAGGGTAGTTTTCTTCAGATATTTATTTTCAGAAGAATGCATAGATTTTCCACCAGACAAACGCATGCACACACACACACACACATACAAACACACGCACACAAACACGCACATGTGTACACATCTTTGTATCAGTTGATCGGACTACTTCCATTTGTGTTTTGTTTATTGCAGGACTGGGGTGGAGAGACTAAATACCCCTAGCACTGAGTCACCTCCTTCCTCTTTTCTCATTTAGAATGTTTGTCAAATGTCTTCTTTGGGCACCTCACAGGGCCAGGCACAAGGGGAAGGGGTATTTGCAGCTGACTTCAATCCAAAGCTGAATGTGGATGTTGGCACCTGCTGCTCCCTCTCTCCAGACATCTCCCTGTATCTTTGCTTATTTGGTTTCATATTTATTGACCATCAACCACCCCCCATCCCTGTAGAACGAGAAGCTCATGAGAACAGGGGTCTTGTTCTCTAGCTTTTGTTTCTCCACCGAGAAGAGTGCCTGGAAACAGAGTCAATGCTCAATAAACATTTATGGAACAAATGAATCCTCCAGCAGCGTGTCCTCAAATCAGCCCTCTTCTCTCTGACGGGAGCTACCATCTGTGCCCCCTTTACCAGTGATCTCACTTTTCTAGGGCAGGAGCTGTACTCAGTTCACATCTCTGTTCCCAGGGTGCAGTCCAGGGCTGGGCACAGAGGAGGATTGGGTACAAGGATGAAGAGAGAGGCAGAGACCTCGAGCAGACACCAGACCATCTGTGCTCATCCAGGCCTGAATTTCTGGAAGTGTCCAGTTCTTGTCACCAGAGCCTGGTCAAGCCATTCAGATCCTGGATGTGACCTTTAATGCTTGCCTTCCTCCAAACTCACACTCATTCTTTGAAACACTTCATGTCATCAAATAACTTCAGAGGTTTGTTTTTCGCAGGTGGGGAGTAGGGTGGGTCACTTCCCTGTGACTCTGCCTTGTGATGGACATTTTGGTTTCTCAAGTGTCCTCACCCTGTGTACTCATGTCATCAGACCCCCATCCAGCGGTCCTCCTGGTTCCCATTCAGGGCGCCTGCCAGGCACCAAGAGGGGCCCTCGAGGTAAAGAAGATCACTCTCAGGGCTGGGTTTCCTGATGCCATTGACACAATATTGAAGGGCCCATAGACCCAGAAGACAAAGGACTTTCAGTTCACACAGCAAATAGGCAGATCTCCCAGGAAGGTGGGAATGTGAAACTGACAGATTTGCGTTAAACCAGGATCCTAACTGTGCCACAGACTCAGAGAAAGGGTGGTTTTGAGTGGGCAGAGGGCAGGCAGGAGGTAAATACACCTAGGAGCAAAGAAACCTGGATTCTGGAGGGGACGAGTTTCTCCCCCAAGGATGTGTACCCATAGGTCTGTCCTCTCATAGACTCGGAGGTGAATTTATGCTGCTCTTATGACTATTACTGAATTTTGCTATTTATGCCAAGATGAAAAACTGCGTTTCCAGTGTCTCAGAGCAGCATGATCTCCTGCATTGTGGAAACATAAACGCAGTGGAGAACCACACCTATAGCTCAGGCACCTCAGTGGTGTCTCAGATGGAGGCCAGGCAATTTGAGTTCACCATGGGACAATTACCAAATACAGCAGGGGACAAGCAGAGTGAGAGCTGATAGAAATGACAAGCCTCAGAAATAGCCCTACAAGGAGTGTGGACCCTACATGACAGATAAATTAATATTTATAATTTATAATTTATTTATAATTATTTATTTATTTATATTTATAATTAAATTATACCCTCAAAAGAGGGTATAATAAAGGAATGAATGAAAATTATATAATTAAATTAATAAACTAGAATTAAAAATACTATAGAGCTAATAAAATAGAATACTGGTTCTTTGTAAGAGACATAAACTTAGCAAATATGGCCGTGGTAGTTTGGGTTGTTTCCTCTTTGTTGTAAAATTACATCTCAGGCCCTTTGCCATAGGACTTCACAAAGGCTCCCACTAGAGTGTGAGGAGTAAACACTCCAGTCCCTTTGCTGTTTGGTGTGGCCATGTGACCATGAGCTAAGATGAAGGGAGCCACAGCTTTACGTGTGCTTACAGGTTTGATATGGCTTTTGTGTTTCTTTCCCACTCATGGGAAGTATATTTCCCTGGAAAGTGATATGGAACAGACATGAATTCACCTGAAAGTCTGGAGTCCAGGTGACTGCTGCTGAGTCCAGGCTCGCTCAGCTGAAATCAGCCAAAGCTCAACAAACTGGAAGATACAGAGCAGAAAATAAAACATTTATTGTTGTAAGCCCTGAGAGGGAGATTTACTATTGTGTTAGCTGACTGATACAATATCAATGATTAATAGAAAAGGTATAAGAAATTAACAAATCAGGAAAGAAAAGAGATTATTATACTAAAATAGATAGTACTAACATTATAAAATTATACCATCTACAGTAGATTTTATAGCAATACATTAGAAAACTAGTTAAAATACATAATATTATAAGAAAGTTTATAATTACTTACATTGGCCCTAGAAGTGTTAGAATAATAAATATATTATTTTATCACATAAAATATTAAAATGGAAGTAAAAAATTATCAACCATTTCTCCATCAACAAAATGGTTTTGTGGCGAGTTGTATCAAGTCTTCAGAGAAGAGATAATTTCTCTGCTTTAGAAATGGTTTGTGTCTACAGCTACTTAGCTAAAATGATTAGCCAAATATGTAACACAGAATGCACAAGGACAGAAAAAAAGAAAGGAACTCTCAGCCAACCCCATCTGTAAGTACAGATGCAAAAATACAATGTAAAAAATAGCTATTAAGACCAGCAATGTAGTCATGGTTAATAGAAGTCTCTGGAATCTGATTTCCTACATTCATTAGCCCATGAATTAACTGCATAATATTTGGCAAATCACTTTGACCTCCATATGCCTCGATATTCTTACTTGTAAATTTGAAAGAATGATAGCATCTATAAAATAGGGTTAATGAGGATTACGTGAGTTAATACTAGTGCCCGGTCCATAGTCTGTGTAATCAGTGTATCAAGCATCAGACCAAGTAGGGTATATCAGAGGAATGCAAAGATGGTTCAACATCAAAAAATAATGTAAGTCACTAATTTAATAAACAGCAGGTTTTATTAAGAGCTTAAATTTATATCTCTCAGATCTTGGAGCTTGAAGCTCTCTTGTTTTCAAAACTAATATGTAGTCTTAAAATTCTTTTGTCATTGATGGGCATTTAGGTTGATTCCATGTCCTTGCTATTGTGAGTAGTGCTGCAGTGAACATTTGCATGCATGTGTCTTTATGGTAGAATGATTTGTATTCCTTTGGGTATATACCCAGTAATGAGATTGCTGAGTCAAATGGTATTTTTCATTCTTTTTTTTTACACTTCGTAAATATAATTCATAAATAAATACTTCATAATTTCTGGTTTGATTTCCCAGAAAGATACAATAACTCTAAATATGTATGCACTTACAAATATGGCCTCAAAACATATAAAGAGACAATTGACAGAATTATAAGAAAAAGCAGAAAAATCCACAATCTTGTGGAAGATTTTCATACAACTTTCTTATTAACTGATAGACCAAGCTGACGCAAAAATCAGTAGATGATAAAATATTGGATGACACACTAAAAAACCTGAATTACCTGACATATAGAGAACACTGCACCCCAAAATTCAAGGGTAAATACTATTTTTATGAAACATTAATAAAAATAGAGCATATGCTGGGATATTAAAGCAAGTTTCAACAAATTTCTAAAAATGTTCCCTGACCACAGAGCAATTATTCTGTATATCAATGATAAAAAGATACTTTGAAAATCCCTATATATTTAAGAAGAAAATTAAGAAATATGCTTCTAAATAACCTGTAGGCCATAAAAAGCCATTCTAATAGAAATTAGAAAACATTGTAACTGAATAATCATGAATAATTAAGTATCAAAACATATAAGATCAACTAGAGCTGCACTTGGAGTAAAATTTATAGCCTTTAAGTATATATTTTAGAAAAGAAGAATGCTGAAAATCATTAATCTAATATCCATTTCAAAACGTTAGAAAAATAAGGCAAGTTAAGCCCTAAGAAAATAGAAGAAAATAATGAAGAGCATGCAGCCATAAAAAATAACCAAATCATGTCATTAGCAGCAACATGGATGCAGCTGGAGGCCATTATCCTAAGCAAATTAAGGCAGAGATAGAAAACCAAATACTGCATGTTCTCACCCAGAAGTGGGAACTAAACATTGTATTCACATGGACACGAAGATAGGAGCAATAAACACTGTGGATTCCAAAAGCAGGGAAGGAGGGAGGAATGCAAGGGTTGAAGAACCACTTATTGAGTATTATGTTTATTTCCTGGGTGATGGGATCACTAGGAGCCCCAACCTCAGCATCATGCAATATACCTATGTAACAAGCCTGCACGTGTACCTCCTGAATCTGAACTAATAATAATAAGCAGAAATTAATGAAATAAAATAAAATGCAACAGAAGGGATAAATAAACCCACAAGTTTGTTCTTAGAAAAGACCAAAAGAATAGATACGTTTTGGTCTTTATCAATCAAAAGATTGATAAAGAGGAAAAAAGAGTAGTCACCAATAACCAGTATCAGGAACGATGAGGAGTCTAACACTACATATCCTACAGACATAAAGATCATAAAATGATAATAGAAATTACTTTATGCCAATAAATTTGAAAAAGTATAGGAAATGGATAAACTCATTGAAAAATATAAATTCCAAAACTTACACAAGAAGATGTACAAAAATCTAAATAGTTTTCTACATAGATTTATAAATTCAATCTATAATTATGTCTTCCTCAGTGAATTTTACAAATAATTTAAGAAATTGTTCTAATCTCATACAAAATCCTCAAGAAAATAGAAAAAAATTTAAAAATTTTTTATTTTTTGAGACCAAAATGATCTCAATACAAAAATGTGACAAGGAACATACAAAAAAGGAATATCACAGGTCAGTCTCACTCATAATGCAAAAATCCTATGATGCACATAGATAAAAATTTCCTCAGCAAATTATTTGTTTTTTGCATATATTTCTAAATTATACTTTAAGTTCTGGGATACATGTGCAGAATGTGCAGGTTTGTTACATAGGTATACACGGGCCAAGGTTGTTTGCTGCACCCATCAACTCATCATCTACATTAGGTATTTCTCCTGATGCTGTCCCTCCCATAGCCCTCACCCCCTGACAGGCCCTGGTGTGTAATGTTCCCCTCCCTTTGTCCATGTGTTCTCATTGTTCAACTCCCACTTATGAGTGAGAACATGCATTGTTTGGTTTTCTGTTCTTGTGTTAGTTTGCTGAGAATGATGGTTTCAAGCTTCATCCATGTCCCTGCAAAGGACAGGAACTTATCCTTTTTTATGGCTGCATAGTATTCCATGGTGCATATGTGCCACATTTTTTTAATCCAGTCTATCATTGATGGGTATTTGGGTTGGTTCCAAGTGTTTGCTATTGTGAACAGTGCTGCAATAAACATATGTGTGCATGTGTCTTTATAGTAGAATGATTTATGTACATTTTAGTATGTACCCAGTAATGGGATTGCTGGGTCAAATGGCATTTCTGGTTCTAAATCCTTGAGGAATCACCACACTGTCTTCCACAATGGTTGAACTAATTTACACTCCCACCAACAGTGTAAAAGTGTTCCTATTTCTCCACATCCTCTCCAGCATCTGTTGTTTCCTGACTTTTTAATGATCACCATTCTAACTGGTGTGAGATGGTATACCATTATGGTTTTGATTTGCATTTCTCTGATGACCAGTGATGATGAGCTTTTTTTCTATGTTTTTTGGCCGCAGGAACTGCCACATTATTTTTCACAATGGTTGAACTAATTTGCACTCTAACCAACAGTGTATAAACATTTCCTTTTCTCTGCAACCTCATCAGCATTTGTTATTTTTTGACCTTTTAATAATAGCTATTCTGACTGGTGTGAGATGTTATCTCATTGTGGTTTTGATTTGTATTTTTTAATAATTGGTGAAATTGAGATTTTTTTCTTAAGCTTGTTGGCTGCGTGTATGTCTTCTTTTGAAAAGTGTCTGTTCATGTTCTTTGTCCAGTTTTTAATTTTTTTCTTGTAAATTTGCTTCAGTTTTTATAGATGCTGGATATTAGACCTTTGTCACATGCATAGCTTGCAAACATTTTCTCCCATACTGTATGTTGTTTGTTTACTCTGTTGATAGTTTCTTTTGCTGTGCAGAAGCTCTTAAGTTTAATTTGATCCCCTTTTGTCAGTTTTTGCTTTCATTATGATTGCTTTTGGTGTGTTTGTCATGAAATCTTTGCCTGTTCCGATGTCCAGAATGGTATTGCCTAGGTTGTCTTCCAGGGTTTTCATAGTTTTGGGTTTTACATTTAAGCCTTTAATCCATCTTGAGCTGATTTTTGTATATGGTATAAAAAAGGGGTCCAGTTTCAATCTTCTGCATATGACTGGCCAGTTATTCCAGCACCATTTATTGAATAGGAAGTCCTTTCCTCATTGCTGGTTTGTTTTTGTTTTAGCGTTGTTGAAAATCAGATGGTTGTAGTAGTGCAGCCTTATTTCTGGGATCTCTGTTCCATTCCCTTGGTCTATGGGTCTATTTTTGTATTAGTACCATGCTGTTTTGGTTACTGCAGCCCTGTGGTACAGGTTGAGGTTTGGGTAACGTGATGCCTCCAGCTTTATTGTCTTTTGGTACCATATGAATTTTAAAATAGTGTTTTACAGTTCTGTGAAGAATGTCATTGGAGTTTGATATGAATACCATTGAATCTGTAAAACGCTTTGGGCAGTATGGCTATTTTAATGGTATTGATTCTTTCTACCATGAGCATGGGATGTTTTCTCATTTGTTTGTGATTTATTTGAGCAGTGTTTTGTAATTCTCATTGTGGAGATCTTTCACTTCCCTGGTTAGCTGTATTGCTGGGTATTTTATTCTTTTTGAGGCAATTGTGAATGGGATCGCATCCCTGATTTCGCTTTTGGCTTGTCTTTTGTTGGCGTATATAGGAATGCTAGGGATTTTTTATGTTGATTTTGTATCTTGAAACTTTGCTGAAGTTGTTTGTCAGCTGAAGAAGCTTTTGGGCCAGGATTATGGGGTTTTCTAGACATAAACTTATGTCACAAAGACTCAATGAAAAATTTCAATGAGTCTCTTCAAAAATGTATAGGTTCTCCCGGCCCCTATAAAAAGGGGATATAAAAATATAAATGGCTTTCCATTTGCTTGGTAGATCTTCCTCCATCCCTTTATTTTGAGCCTATGTGTGTCCCTGCAGGTGAGATGGGTTTACTGAATACAGCACACTGATGGGTCTTGACTCTTTATCCAATTTGCCAGTCTGTGTCTTTTAATTGGAGCATTTAGCCCATTTACAGCATGGGCAAGGACTTCATGTCTAAAACACCAAAAGCAATGGCAACAAAAGCCAAAATTGACAAATGGGATCTAATTAAACTCAAGAGCTTCTGCACAGCAAAAGAAACTACCATCAGAGTGAACAGGCAACCTACAGAATGGGAGAAAATTTTTGCAACCTACTCATCTGATAAAGGGCTAATATCCAGAATCTACAAAGAACTTAAACAAATTTACAAGAAAAAACCAAACAACCCCATCAAAAAGTGGGCGAAGGATATGAACAGACACTTCTCAAAAGAAGACATTTATGCAGGCAAAAAACACATGAAAAAATGCTCATCATCACTGGCCATCAGAGAAATGCAAATCAAAACCACAATGAGATACCATCTCACACCAGTTAGAATGGCGATCATTAAAAAGTCAGGAAACAACAGGTGCTGGAGAGGATGTGGAGAAATAGGAACACTTTTACACTGTTGGTGGGACTGTAAACTAGTTCAACCATTGTGGAAGTCAGTGTGGCGATTCCTCAGGGATCTAGAACTAGAAATACCATTTGACCCAGCCATCCCATTAATGGGTATATACCCAAAGGATTATAAATCATGCTGCTATAAAGACACATGCACATGTATGTTTATTGCGGCACTATTCACAATAGCAAAGACTTGGAACCAACCTAAATGTCCAACAACGATAGACTGGATTAAGAAAATGTGGCACATACACACCATGGAATACTATGCAGCCATAAAAAATGATGAATTCATGTCCTTTGCAGGGACATGGATGAAACTGGAATCATCATGCTCAGCAAATTATCGCAAGGACAAAAAACCAAACACCACATGTTCTCACTCATAGGTGGGAATTGAACAATGAGAACACATGGACACAGGAAGGGGAACATCACACACCGGGGCCTGTTGTGGGGTGGGGGGAGGGGGGAGGGATAGCATTAGGAGATATACCTAATGCTAAATGATGAGTTAATGGGTGCAGCACACCAACATGGCATATGTATACATATGTAACAAACCTGCACGTTGTGCACATGTACCCTAAAACTTAAAGTATAATAATAATAAAATTAAAAATATATATATATATAAATTGCAAAAAGAGATATACAAAATTTCTACTGTTTGTAAATAGAAACATATAAAATATAACAAAATCAGTTATATTAGAAATATTGGGGGAAAACGAGGTTCCAAAAAGATGGTAGGGTATAAGATCAACAAATAATATATATCAAAAATTTTTCTTACAAACTAGCAATAATTAATTTAGAATATAAAATAGTATAGTAACAACAGAAAATTAAACCACAAAGTAAGTAAAAATAAATCTAAAAAGAAATGAGAAGATGGCCGATTAGAAGCAGCTGTAGTTCGCGGCACTCACAAAGAGGAATGAAAGGGGCGAGTGAACACAGCACCTGAAATTGAAATATCCAGATAGTCACATTGGGACTGTTCAGGGAAATAACTTGACCCACAGACAATGAAGGAAAGCAGGATTGGACAATGGCCCACCCAGGAGTGACACAGAGCTAAGGGAACCCCCACCCCCAGCCAAGGGAAGGGGTGTGTGATTGTATTACCCCAGGAAACCACTGTTCTCCCACAGAGCTTTGTAACCCACTGATCAGGAGATCCCCTCATGAGCCCATGCCAGGTCTGACACACAGAGCTGTGTGCAGTCTTGGCAGAGCAGCTACTCATGCACACACAGAGACTTAGGAGTTTTATATGCCCTAGCCCCGGGATCCCCAAAAACTGTGTCTGCAACTCAGAGGTACAAAGGTGGGAGGTCCACACATACCCCTAGGAAGGGGGTAAAATCCAGGGAGCCTGAGCAGCCTCATTCCATGGGCTCCACTTCCATGGTACCTCGCGAGATAATACCCACTGGCTTGGAATTCCAGGTTGCCATCAGTAACAGGATGGAGCCTGCCTGAGACAGAATGGAGCCCCAGGGAGGAGGGTTGACTCAGCCCTTTCAGTCTATGGGCTTTGGAAAGTCCACACAGTCCAGACAAGAAAGAATCCCCGCAGAAGCACAATGTAGTTGCTTTGACAGATGGTGGCCAGACTGCTTCTTTTAGCAGGGACCTGATCCATTTCTCCTCACTTAGTGGGACCTCCCAGCCAGGCTTTCCAGCCATTCCCACTGGCACATATTACGGACAGAGCTCTGATCTCTCCCTGGGACCACCTTCACTGGTGATACCTCCAGGTATGGGAAGAACTGAGGCAACTAGGGTCTGGAGCAGCCTCCCAGCAAACCACAGCAGCCCTATGGAAGGGTGGGAAGACTGTTAAAAGAAATACAAATAGACGGAAAACAACAACAACAACAACAAAGAAAAACAACAAAAACCCCATCCAAAGGTCAGTAACCTTAAAGATCAAAGGTAGGTAAGCCAACAAAGATTAGAAAGAATCAATGCAAAAATGCTGAAAACTCAAAAAGCCAGAGTGCCCCTTTTTCTCCAAATGACTGCAACACCTCCCAGCAAGGGCTCAGAACTGGGCTGAGGCTGAGATGTCTGAATGACAGAAGTAGGCCTCAAAAGGTGGGTAATAACAAACTTCACAGAGCTAAAGGAGCATGTTGCAATCCAATGCAAAGAAGCTAAGAATCTTGATAAAATCATATGGAAACTGACAGCCAAAGCAGCCAGTTTTGAGAGGAACATAACCAACCTGTTAGAGCTGAAAAACAGACTGCAAGAACTTCACAGTGCAATTACAAGTATTAATAGCAGAGTAGACCAAGTGGAGGAAAGAATCTCAGAACTGGAAAACTTGCTTTCTGAATTAAGACAGGCAGACAAAAATAGAGACAAAAGAATGAAAAGAAATGAACAAAACCTACAAGAAATATGGAATTATGTAAAGAGACTGAATCTATCACTGATTGGGGTATCTGAAAGTGATGGGGAAAATGGAACCAAGTTGGAAAACATACTTCAGGATATCATCCAGGAGAAACTCCCCAACCAAGCAAGACAAGCTAATATTCAAATTAAGGAAATGCAGAGAACCCCAGTAAGATACTCCATGAGAAGATCATTTCCAAGATAAAATAATCAGATTCTCCAAGGTCATAATGAAAGAAAAAATGTTAAGGGCAGCCTGAGACAAAGGCCAGGTCACCTACCAAGGGAAGTCCATCAGACTAACTGTGAATCTCTTAGTGGAAACACCACAGGTTAGAAAAGATTGGGGGCCAACAGTCAACTTCCTTTAAAAAAAGAATTTCCAACCCAGAATTTCATATCTGGCCAAACTAAGCTTCATAAGCGAAGGAGAAATAAAATCCTTTTCAGACAAGAAAATGCTGAGTGAATTCATCATGACCAGGTCTGCTTTGCAAGAGCTCCTGAAGGAAACACTAAATATGGAAAGGAAAACTGTTACCAGCCACTACAAAAACACACCAAAGTACACAGAGCAGTGACACTGAAGCAACCACATAAACAAGTCTGCAAAATAAGCAGCTGGCATCATCATGACAGGATCAAATCCACACATATCAATACTATTCTTAAATGTAAATGGAGTAAATGACCCTAATTAAAAGACACAGAATGGCAAGCTGGATAAAGAATTAAGACCCATCAGTATGTTGTCTTAAAGAGACCCATTTCATATGCAAAGACACACATAGGCTCAAAATAAAGGGATGGAGGAAAATTTACCAAGCAAATGAAAAACAGAAAAAAGCAGGGGCTGCAATCCTAGTTTCTGACAAAACAGACTTTAAACCTACAAAGATAAAAAAAGACAAAGAAGAGCCTTACATAGTGGTAAAGAGTTCAATTCAACAAGAAGAGATAACTCTTCTAAACATATATGTGCCCAATACAGGAGCACTCAGATTCATAAAGCAAGTTCTTGGAGACATTCAAAGAGACTTAGACTCCCACACATAATAGTGGGAGACTTTAACACCCCATTGACAATATTAGATAGATAATTGAGACAGAAAATTAACAAAGTTATTCAGGATCTGAACTCAACTCTGGATCAAGTGGACCTGTTAGATGTCTACAGAACTCTCCACCCCAAAACAACAGAATATACATTCTTCTCATTGACACATCCTACTTACTCTAAAATTGATCACATAATTGGAAGTAAAACACTCAACAAATGAAAAAGAACTGACATAATAACAAACAGTCTCTCAGACAATAATGCAATCAAATTAGAACTCGAGATGAAGAAGTTCACTCAAAACCACACAACTACATAGAAATTGAAAAACCTGCTCTTGTATGACTCTTGGGTAAACAATGAAATTAAGGCAAACATCAAGAACTTCTTTGAAACTAATGAGAACAAAGACACAACATGCCAGAATCCCTGGGACACAGCTAAAGCAATGTTAAGAGGGAAATTTATAGCACTAAATGCCCATATCAAAAAGTTAGAAAGTTAATAACCTAATATCACAACTAAAAGAACTAGAGAACTAAGAGCAAATAAACCCCAAAGCTAGCAGAAGAAAAGAAATAACCAAGATCAGAGCAGAATCGAAGGACACAGAGACACGAAAAACCTTAAAAATATCAACAAATCCTGGAGGTGGATTTTTGAAAAAAATAATAAAATAGATAGATCACTAGCTAGACTAATAAAGAAGAAAAGAGAAGATTCAAATAGACACAATCAGAAATGATAAGGGGGATATCACCACTGACCCCACGAAATACAAACAACCATCAGAGAATACTATAAACACCTCTGTGCACATAAACTAGAAAATCTAGAAGAAATGGATAAATATGCCCTGGACATATACGCCCTCCCAAGAAAGAATCAGGAAGAAATGGAATCCCTGAATAGACAAATAATGAGTTCTGAAGTTGAGGCAGTAATAAATAGCCTGCCCACCAAAAAAATCCCAGGACCAGATGGAGTCACAGCTTAATTCTACCAGAGGTACAAAGAAGAGTTGGTACCATTCCTACTAAAACTATTCCAAAAAATTGAAAAGAAGCAACTCCTCCTTAACTCATTCTGTAAGGCTAGCATCATTTTGATACCAAAACCTGGCAGATACAACAAAAAAGAAAACTTCAGGCCAATATTCTTGATGAACATTGATGCAAAAATCCTTAACAAAATACTGGCAAACCGAATCAAGTGACACATCAAAAAGCTTATCCACCACAATCAAGTAAACTTCATCCCTAGGATGCAAGCTTGGTTCCACATACGCAAATCAATAAAAGTGATTCATCACATAAACAGAACTAAAGACAAAAACCACATGATTATCTCAATAGATGCAAATTTTCAGAGGCTTAAAGTATTTATCTATATAATTGGGAATGTAGACTGTCCTGGATTTACAACTGTCCGACTTACAATTTTTCCACTTTGCAATGACTTAAAAGCAATGCAAATCCAGTAGAAGCCATACTTCAAGTACACATATAACTGAATTATTCATTCAGTTTCAGTCCAGCATTCCATAAATTTCATGAGACAGTCAACACCTCATTATAAAATCAGCCTTGTGTTAGATGATTTTGCCCAACTGCAGGCTAACATAAGTTTTCTGGGCATGTTTAAGTTACTCCAGGCTCAGCTATGATGTTTGGTAGGTTAGGTGTATTAAATGCATTTTCCACTTAATATATTCTCATCCTGCAATGTGATTATTGGGATGTCACCCCATCATAAGTCGAGATACATCTGTACATGCTTCTACTTGCTTTTTTTCTTAATTTTGAAGAAGGCTCAATAATTTCTGTGCTGGGTCCTAAGCACATATGGAATGGTGATCAGATTAAAAATTATCACTCATAAAAGACTGAGAAAAATTTCCTCTTATTCTCATTGGTTTTCTGAGCTTCCTTCCGCCCAAGAAAAGCAATAAATGCACTGAGAAAGAGTGTTCACAGGTGTTATAGGGGGAGAAGTGGGAGGTGGGACACATATGTAGCTGCCTCCTCAAGCAATTGGAGACATTGTCTCATTCCTGCGCAGCCCTGGGTCATGAGAGTGTGGTCCCATTCCATGCAGACCTGAGACTAGGATGGCTCACTAAGGCCTGGGACTGAGCCCTGAGTGCCACCATCACTGCTGGGCTGCAGAAATCATTCAGGTGGCTGAGTAGGGGACAGAAGACATGGTATTCCCACCCACAAATGGACCATGTGGACTCAGGAAGCCCGTATGTTCTTCCAAATGGTGGCTGTAGCTCCCCATCCCTCTGCAGCATCATAGTGAGGAGAGGAGGTGGCTCCTCCTACCAAACAAAGAAAGCACATCCTGAGATTGAATTTTCCAATCTTCAGGCAAGTGGGGGCTCAGAGTCAGAGTTCATTTGATTTACAAAAATACAGAAATGTGATATTTCTTGGAACCAAAGCTATGGAAACTCATGTGAACACATTCACGATTTATTAAGCTTAAATCATCTTTATTCAGCTCAGGAGTGGGGTGGCTGGAAGCATAAGCTTCAGGTCCAGGAAGATGGGTTTGGATCCAGCCTCTGCCACTTGCTCTCTGGAATAATACTCAAAACATTTAACTCCTCCAAGCTTCAGTGTCCTTATAAAAAATGAGGAAACAATACTGGTCCCGTGACATTGTGTAAAGATTGAATAGTACATAATATGCTGTATTAGAAGTGCTTGTCAAGGTTCTTGGCAAATGATAGGTGCTCAGTCAATAGCCTCTGTGTATAGTAACAGTTCTGGTAGTAATTTTGGTAGCTGGGGGGATGGTAATAACTGTGACAGCAACAAGTATCTTATTCCCATTTCACAGATGAAGACATAAGCTCTGGGAAAAAAAAATCTTCAACTGTCACTGATTACCTTGCCCACCCCACGACATATCCTAAGACCTGGCACGTGATAATTTTAATGAAATATCTGGGTGAATGGATTAATGAAAGGAGAAAGCAGAGCCAGTGGTGTGGGGGGTGGTGTGAATGCCCACTGAAATCTGAAGTAGGGTGCAGATTTGTTCATCAGTTGAAAGTTACTCGGGTCACATCTGAAGGCGGCTCTAGGTCACCCTAGAGGCCTAGGCTGGCTGTCTTCAGGTCAGGGGGCTGAGTTGCCATTCAAAGACTCAAAGGAGTGAATCGTACACATCAATCATGGGGTTGGCTTGGCCACCACCCTGCTGGAACACTACCTGGCCTTCTAACCTCATGGAGAGCCTGACCAGGCCTGCCACAGAGACCTCAGAGTGCCAGAGAATCTCCACTGTGTCCTTAGCTCTGCACAGTCAGGGCTTCCCCGAAGTCTGCCTCTCTCTGTCATTATGCTTGGCCAGGATTGCTCATCCTGATGGCACTGGGTTGCAGAGAGAGAGCTGAGGGGACCAGGAGGCAGGCACTTTGTGTGACTTTGGAGGGTCCTTCTACCCCAAGACCTCACTGCTGCCATCTGTAAGTGAAGGAACTGGACCAGATGGGGAATAAGGAGGGCTCCATCTCATGTCGAAGGCCAAGGCTAAGAGTGGCTGCCTGGGGTGCAGTGCTGGGAGAGTTTGCAAGGGGAGTGTCAAGGCTGGTCAGTGATTATGGGGAAGAGTCAGGGCCCATCAGAGGAATGAAGTGGCTAAGGGTGCCTCCAGTCCCAATAGCCACAAGTGAATTCTGTTGAAAGGGAGTTCTAGCATCTCACAGACCAAGTGGAGCCTCAGGATGGAGGCCGAAGGCCAGAGAGCGTCCTCCCTGTCCCATGGCCTAAATGCCTCTCAGAACTCACAGATGGTCAGTCGGGAGTACAGGCAGTTCCTGTCATTCCACTGCCCATCTGTGTACATCTCCACACACTGCTCTTTTCCCCGACCTGCGGGCTCCCCTCGGTACCAGTTGGTGTAGTTTACAGGGGTCCCGTCTGAGTAGCGGAAGTCTCCAGGGCTGGGACCCTCAGTCAGGCCTACATAGGCATATGTGTTGTACTTCTTCACGAAGCTTGCAATGGCCTCATTTTCCTCTGGATTCCTTGGGACAGCAATGCGGCCGCCTGCTCTGGCACATGCCTCCTGAATGGCATCAAAAGTGATGGACTGCCCATTGCTGGAGAAGACCTTCTCTCCTACTGTCATTATGGAGCCCTGCAGACTGAGGGCTGAGAGCAGAGGAGTCCGGGTCAGGCCACTGACCACTTTGTCTCTAAGCCACCTCCCTCACCTGGGGTCTCTGCTACCAGATTCTCCCCAGTCTCTCCATCTCTGCCTCTCTCTGTGTCTTCTCTTCCTCTTCCAATTGCAGTTTTCTAAATTCACTTTTAGACTCTCCTCCATTTATTCATTCACCTAAGTAACAATTACTTATTGCCAGAAATGGTGCAATTTCCTGGAATTCAGTGGAAAGCAAGGCAGGTGGAGAACTTGCTTTCCTATGAAATGGGGAGTGAATTGTGTCTGCTTCTGTCTCCTCTGGGCCATTCAAAGACATCAGAAAAGCAAGCGTCATTCCTTTCCCCAAGACCTGCATGTGCATGCCTATTTGTAATCTCTATGTTCTAGAAGCTGGTGCTGAGAATGAGGGGAATTTGTGGGAAACTCCTACCCCGTGAGGCCCAGGGGGTCCCCTTACCTCCCCTTGTCTGCAGGATTTGATGTCTAAAGTCGTGGAGTGTGGCTTGGAGCTCCTCATCTAGATGAGCTGGAAGCCCTGTGGAGAGTGCCCCACACAGAAGGAGGGGCAGGCCAGTGAAGACTCCCACTTGCTGCCACGCAGGTGTTTTGCCATCTGCAATCCTGGAACTCTGCCCTTTCATTGCTGTTAGGCGCCACCCAGACCCTAGGCTCAGAGGGTCCACAAGATTCCAGTGTGTCTCCACACCCCGTGGTCCCCTATTCTTTAGTGAAGCCTTGCCCCTGCTGAGACCCCCACCCCTTGTCCTCTTTCCTGCTCTGTCCCTCGAGGGGTTCTGTCTGCCCGCCTCTGTGGGGCAAGTCCCTCTCCCGCACCCTCCACCAAGGGCAAGCATGATGCTCTCTGCACTGCCCTGATGGACTTGCTTACCGCTCTGAGCTTCAAAGTTCCCCTCTGTCTGTGGGGCTCCTGATCACACCGTCTGTCTGGATGCCTCGTCCGCATTCACCCTTCAGACAGCCCCCAGGGCCTCCATCCCAGGACATGCCTCCCCTGCCTCCCAGTGCTGTCCCTCATCCCACACCTGACTCAGTGTGTCCCCATCGGTGGTCATGAGGCACGGAGGACTTCCCACACCTGCCTTTCCCTGAATTGTGACCACACTCCCCAGACACCTCAGCTTTCTCCCTCAAGCTTATCCTCTCTTACTTAGGTTGAGCCAAATGCCCTTGGGGAACCTGTAGGGTTTGTCTGATCCCCATCATCCCCGTGTAACTGACTTCAGGGTCGCTGTGCCCATGTTTCCACTGCCCACCTGCCCCACCCTGCTCACCTGGAGGGCCCCTCTCGCCAGGCTCCCCCTTCTCTCCACACTCTCCAGGGATACCAGGGGCTCCAGGCAGCCCATCATTTCCAGGAGGACATGGCATTTCTCCAGGTGGACCCATGGGGCCTGCAGAGAAAAGAGACATGGATGTGTAGGATCTGTCACCCACAACTGGTTGGAGCTAGTGAGACTCGATGCCCATTATCACCAGGGCTGGCTCAGCTATCACTCTATCACTCCGTGGGCACTATGAGGACAGACTCTCCAGGATGCGCCATCATAAGGGCCCCAGGAACCCACCAGCCCTGCAGACTGAAGTCCCACCCAGCTTACTATAGCCCCCAGCTCACTATGGCCCACAGCCTAGGGGCCTGGACAGATGGGCCTCCTGAAAAGGGGTCTGTGTCCCTCAGCTGAGGGTGGGGTCTGCAGCACAGTACCTGGAGGGCCAGGGTCTCCTTTGAGACCATCTCTCCCGTCCCTGCCTGGCAGGCCGTGGGATCCAGGAGTGCCGGGGATACCAGGGCTTCCAACACAAACGTCCTTCACTTCGCACACAGCACCAGAGGCTGCCATCAAGATGAGGTTGAGGGCCAGAGGGCACAGCCACATGGCTCTGGGTCCAGTCGCTGCTCCTGCAGGAGGGATGGCCGTGAGCCCATCTGCCACCTCTGCCAACATCTCCCCCACTGTGCTCTGTCAGGACTCAGGAAGCTGGGCAGAGCCCGAGAGGCAGGGCGGGCGAGACCAGAGTGCTGGGAAGACCCGAAGCTCCCGGGAAAATTCCCAGCATCACCTGGCACCTGGCATGGCCTCATGCTTCAGGCCTCCGGCTGGAGGTTGTGGGGTCTCCAGGCTGCTGAGGAGGAGGAAGAGTAAGGAGCTCTGGGGAGCCCGGGGACCTGGGCTCCAGTGCAGTCTCCTTTCTTTCAGTGCCTCACTATGTTACCCTGGGAAACTGGCTTCACCTCTCTGACTTCAGCTGAATCTTCCGTGCTCTGCAGAAAACCTGCCCTGTCCCTCCCAGGCTATTAGTCAGGTCACTCACTCACTGACTCACACCATCTGTCCTCATCCCTGCTGTGTTACTTTCTTTTCAGGCTCCAAGAAATCAGCGACCTGAGAATGAAAAAAGATGAACGGGGCCCGCAGCCTGGCCCCCCTCAAGGTGGTCAGTCATGGAGTCCCCTTTCTTTTTGGGGTCTGTTCTCTCACTGCCCCTCCTGTAGGCCCTGCTGAACCCTGTAGGGATGGATCTGGCCAAAGAAAATAACAAACATGAGGATCTTTGCAGGTCACCTATGTTGACTGTGCTGTGAAACACCTCCCAGTGGAAAATGGGGAGTTGCCCTCCTTCCCAGCCTGGGCTTTGGTCAGGCCTGTGGCTGCTGGGCTGGTCCTCTCTGCCTGCGATCCTCAAGCTGGAGAACACCTAGGGGATGGGGCTAAACTCACCCACACACAGAGCCTCCAGCTGCTTGGGTCTCTGCCTCCAAGTCAGAGGGTAAGGTAGACGCAGCATTTATAGATGTGGGGGCTGCCAGGCTTCCTCCTCACCCCTGAGAGCCCTACCACAAAACCTGTGCTCCAGGCAGGAAATGGGCATAGTGTTTACACAGCATGTTTCCCCAAGAGCACTCAGGCTGGAGGATCTCAAAGGACCCTTGAGGGGAGCACAGAACCTGCGAAAGAGGAACTCCAGGTCTGTAAGAAGAGAAATCCCCCCCTTGGCTGAGGTCACCCACCCTGCCCCTAGCAAGCTCCTTAGCAGTGAAAGCCGAGAGCCCTTACACAGGCACTAAGGAAGCCCCACTGGGTTCCTGGTTTAGATTCAGACAATGAAGAACTCACTGCTCCAGCTGAGATTGGTCAGGTTGATCCAGGCCAACTTGTCTGTCCTGCGACCTGGCTCAGCCATGAGCCCCAGGCCCCCCCACCAGCCTGTGTCCCTGGAGCCTGCAGCTGAGTTGGTGGGCACATGGGCAGAGTGGCAGGCAAATATGCTGCACGTTCCACTTCCCTCTGCCCTAGCAGGTTCAGCTGGAGGAGTCAGGGCAGCACCTGGAAGGTCACGGGAGAGCTGCAGTTTCTGTCTTTGGTAGAACATCACTTTGGGTGATGTCTGGCAACCTGCAATGGTGATTATGCTAAGTGTCCCAGTGATATATGAAGCCCTAGTTGTTGAGGTCCTGGTTTGAGCATCTGGATTAGGAGGGAATCTCCAACTGTGGAGGTGGTAATGATGGGAACCAAGACAGGAAAATCTCCCCTGGCTTATTTGGAATTGGTTTGAAAAATCCCAAACCATTGAGGAGTCTGGAGCTCTTCCAGGGAGCGGAAGCTCAGCCAATGGACCCCACTCCCAGAAGCAGGAAGCTGGGCAGTGCCAATTTGTAGCATGGAGTCTTTCAGCTGCCCCAGTGCTGTCTGCCACACCATGTGGTGGGTGCTGGGCCAGGTGTGGAATGGGGGAGTCAGGCCAGTGCAGGGTGGGGGCAGGTGGGGCGCAGCTCCAGCAACTTGGCTGTGGGGAGGCAGGGCTGTTTTGCAGGTGATGAGCAGGAACAGAGGCCAACTCAGATGTGCAGGGCCTTGTGGTTGGCAGGGCAGGGCGTGACTTTAGGGGAAAGGCACACCTGAGTTTTCACCCAGAGCTGTCACTTATTACCCATGTGGACTCAGTCAGGTTATGTAACATTTTGAGGCTCAGTTTCCTTTTTGTTTTTATTATCTTGAAACATCAAATTTACAGAAGAATTGCAGGCACGGTACAAATATGTTTCCCTGAACCTATGAAAGTAGGTTGTCAGCATGAAACCCCAACACCCCAATACTTTAATGTGTTTTTCATGCAAAGGCATTTTCGCATTATAACCATAATCAAGAAATTAACATGGATATAATAACTCCAAATAGCCTTCAGGCCCTATGCAAAATGTACCCAATGCCCCAATAGTGTCCTTTATAGCAAAGGATCCATTTCTGAGCCATGTGCCGTATTCGGTTGTCACGCTTCTCCAGGGTCCTGAAACCCACAAAGGCCCTCTGTCTTCCCTTCACCTTCATGACCTGAACACAGTGTGAAGATCACAGGAGAGTTACTGTGTAGAATGCCCCTCACTTTTTTTTTTTTTTTTTTAATGTATTGGCTCATGATTAGATTCAGGTTCTGTAACTTCAGCAGAAATGCGATAGACATCCTGCTGCGCTCTTCTCCCATTCTACCGGGCGGCATGTGACTTTAGTTTGCCCCAAGATTGATGATGTTCTTGTTGATCATTGAATTAAGGTGGTGGGTGTCACGCTTCACTACCATAAATACATTCTTTTTCTGGTTTTAATCAGTGACTATGTTATGAGGACGCACTTTGGGGCTATTGTAAAGATCCCATTCCTCATCACACTGTCTCTGTTGCCCATTGATTGATTTGTAGCAATGTGGACTCGTTCGTGAGGCCTACCACTGACCACCAGGGGGTGCCGAGCACCCACCTGCGGGCTGCAGGGGGCACTACGTGTGTTTGATGTTGAAACAGTTACAGTTTGCCAGCACATGGCACCAGTGAATCTAAAGAATGTCGTTAAGAAGATGGTTCTCCCAACACAAATTTGTCACTCTTAGCTCTAAGAATTGCTGTAGTTCCTGCTGAGTTCCGAGTGCCCACACCAGGCCACTCAGCTGTGTCCACAGCCTCCTCCCCCTGCTTAGGCTCCACTGCCCCCGCCGGTCCAGTCCGCTCTCCTTCAGTATCTTTCTCGTTCTCCTCGGGGCCTCACCCTCCACGTTGGGCTTCTTCCCTCTGCAGGGATATCCTCTTCACACTGCCAGTCCTTGGGCGCCCATGCCAAGCCACCTCAGAGTCCACAGTCTTGCTTTCTCTCTCCATCACACCCTGAGTTTTCACTAAAGAAGGAAGGGAATGAGGCATGCCTCTATTCTCTGTCTTTCAGAATAGGCAACCATCTCTCTTCACCACTCCCAGCTTATACCCCTCTGGAGTGTATCCAGAACCAATGGGACTGCTTTGATCCTCTTAATCTGGAAGAAAAATGCCTCATAGCCCTCTGCACAAAGGTTTGGCCAAATTATGAAGGACCGGGTGGACCTCAGGAATGAACCTTTCATTTCGATAGTATCCGGTGATCAGGCCTTTTCTGTATACATGAAGACAAATGGTCTGAGGTCCCATATGTGCAGGTTTTCTATACCTTGCAAGGCAATCCAGACCTTTGCTGACAGTGTAGGATTGATACAGCCCTCCTGCTTGCCATCTCAGGGAGGACTGCAAGGGGCAAGCCTAGGAAACTAAAGATATGAATCCCAGAGGCACCCCAAGCAGAGAAGCCAGCCCCCTCCAGCTCTTCCCCTCTGGGTCTACCTCGACCTCCCTATTCAGCTTCAGCCTCTCACTTGCCCCCTCCTAAAAATCCTCACCCTAGACAAGCCCCAACCTCACTCTTGCCCCTTCAACCAATGCCTGGTGAATTTGGGCCCAGTAAGGTCCAGTTCCCCTCCTCCCTACAGGACTTAAAGTGAATTAAGGGGGATCTTGGGAACTTTTCAGATGACCCCGACAGATATATAGAGGCTTTCCAGAATTTCACCCAAATATTTGATCTCTCCTGGAGAGACATTATGTTGCTTTTGAACCAGACCTTGACAGACACTGAGAAGCAGGCTGCTCTGCAAGCAGCAGAGAGATTTGGGGATGAGCTTAGTATCACATATAGTGTCAGGGAAGGGGGCAAACATTATCCAACTGGGAGAGAAGCAGTATCAATGGATTACCCTAAATAGGATTCCAATGACAAGATGGAAGCCTGGAAGAGGAGGCACTTTCAGGTGTGCATAATGGAGGGCTTATGTAAGACCAGGACCAAGCCTCTCAATTATACTAAATCATCCATGATTGACCAGGGATTTGATGAAAATCCCACTGCCTTCCTGGAAAGGCCAAGGGAGGCCTTAGTAAAGCACACCTGTCTATCCCCTGATTCAGCTGAGGGACAACCAATCCTAAAGCATAAATTTACTACTCAGGCAGCCCCTGATATCAGGAGGAAGCTACAAAACAGGCTCTGGGACAAGAGAGTACTTTAGAGAACCTTCTGAAAGTACCCACCTTGGTTTTTTATAATAGAGATAGGTAGGCACAAGAGAGAGAGGAAATACAGGAAAGAGACAGAGACTTTAATGGCCAGCAGACAAGCCCACAAACCCCAGAATTCCCAGGGTGCACCTGTCAATTGCTACAGATGTGGCAAATCAGGGCATTTCAAGAATTTCTCAGACAGCATGAGGAAGCTACCTCAACCCTGTCCAATCTGCAGTGGGGACCACTGGAGGGTGGACTGTTCCTGGGCATGCTGGTCACCAGGTCCAGAGCCAGTCTTCCAAATGGTCCAGCAGCAGGACTGACAGGTCCCAGGGCTCCTCTCCTGGCTCCTGTAGTCCAGACCACCATTATCATCAAGGTGCCCTGGGTAATCATGGAAATCGAAGAGAGGAAAGTGGACCTCCTTTTGGACACTGGGACTGGTCTCTCAGTTCTCCTCTTGAATCCAGGCCCCCTCTCCTCTCTTAGCATGACTGTGAGGGACATCTCAGGAAGGTCTTTAACCCGATATTTTTTCCAACCCCTTAGCTGTACCTGGGGTTGTTCACCAAAGCTTTTCTAATTATGCCTGAAAGCCCAACTCCTCTGTTGGGTAGGGATATTCCGGCCCATGTGGGGACCATCATTCTGATGGCCCCTAGGGAAACTCTTTGTCTCATCCTAGTAGAGACCAATATTAACCCAGAAGTTTGGGCAACTCTAGGGAAGATTGTCAGAGCCACAACTACCATACCAGTCTGGGTCCATCTTAAGGATCCCACCTCCTTTCCTAACCAGAAACAATATCCCCTGAAACTAGAGGTTAGGAAAGGACTAGAAGCCATCATTGATAACTTGAAGATGGAGGGCCCACTCAAACCCTGCAATAGCCCTTGTAATACCCCAATATTGGGGGTACAAAAACCCAACTAGAAATGGAGGCTAGTTCAGAACCACCTCCTTGTTAATGAGGCTGTGGTTCCAATACATTCAATGATTCCCAATCCGTATACCCTGCTAGCTCAAATACCTGAGGGAACTAAATGGTTCCTGGACCTAAAGGATGCCTTCTTCTGCATACCATTATACCACAACTCCCAGTATTTGTTTGAATTTGAGGATCCCTCTAACCAAACCACCCTGTTAACCTGGACAATGTTACCTCAGGGATTCCAAGACAGCTCCCACTTGTTTGGGCAGGCATTATGGAGAGATCTCTCCAAGTTCCTTTATCCTCAGGTCAAAGTTTTGCAATACATGGAGGACCTTCTCTTTTGCACTCCAACTGAGGAAATCTCTCAGAAGGGCAGTAAGGCTCCTCTTAATTTTCTTGCTAACAGAGGATATAATGTTTCAAAATCTGAAGCTCAGCTCTGTCAGACTTCAGTGAAGCACCTAAGCCTGGTCTTGTCAGAGGGGACCAGGGCATTGGGCGAAGAAAGGATTAAACCTATCTCCTCCTTTCTCCTCCCCAAACACTCAAGCAACCGAGGGGATTCTTACGCACAGGAAGTGGCAGTAATACATTGTAAAGGCCACCAAAGAGGGATGGATGAAATAGCTGAGGGAAACGGGCTGGCAGACTGAGCAGCTAGGGGCTGAGCCGCTTCCTGTGGGAGGAAAACTGAGCAAAATAGTCTATTAATTTCCTGATGGCATTTAATGGGATACCCATTAGCTGTGAGGAAGTTCCTGTCTTTCCAGATAGTGGCATGGGTGTGGAGAACTAGGAAAGCATACTTAGAATCAGTATAAATGTTAACTGTTTTTCCTTTGCCTAATTCAAGTGCTCTCATGAGGGTAATTAGTTTGGCCAGTTGAGCACTTGTGCCTGAGGAGAGAGGTGTGCTCTCAACAATATCATTCAGAGTAACTATTTCACACCCTGCTTTATGAGCAGCTAGCTAGACTGAGCAGCTAGCAGCAGCAAGGGGGCCCCAGGTCTCTGACCCACTTGAAGCCTTACTGATCTTGGAGGGCCCCCATCAGAGAAATAAAACCTCAATACTCTCCTATGGAAATAGAATGGGACACCTCTTAGGATGGCATGCTTCATCTACCAGCTGGCAACCAATGGAAAGTTCTTAAAAGCCTTCTCCAGGCCTTCCACCTAGGTACAGATAAAACCTACTGACTGGCTCAGATTGTTCTCAGATAAAAACCTGATACAAACAGTTAAACAGGTTGTTAATGCTTGCAAGACCTGCCTTAAAAACAATCCCCTTAATTAATAGTGTCTTCTCCAAGGCTACCTAGGGGAAGACTGGCAAATGGATTTCACCCATATGCCAAAGGTAAGGGGCATCCAGTACCTCCTAGTGTGGATAGATACCTTCACTAACTGAGTAGAAGCATTTCCATGTCAGACAGAGAAAGCCTCTGAGGTGATAATAGTACTAATCAATGAGATAATTCCTCACTTTGGACTCCCTAAGTACCTCCAGAGCAATAATGGCCCCTCGTTCAAGGCAGCTGTCACCCAGGGGGTCTCAAAGGCACTAGGCATACAGTACCATCTTCATTGTGTTTGGAGACCACAATCCTCAGGAAAGGTAGAAAAGACAAAAATGATATTATCAAAAGGCACCTCAAGAAACTGTCTCAGGAGACTCATCTCCCCTGGACTACTCTTCTTTCCATAGTCCTGCTATATATCAGAAACACTCCTTCAAGTCTGGGTTTGAGTCTCTTTGAGACTATGTATGGATGACATTTTCTCATGAATGATTTCTTGCTAGACCAAGAAACCTTTGTTTTAATTAAGCACATAACCTCTTTGGTCCATTTCCAACAGGAACTGAAACAACTGTTGAAGGCCCAATCCCACGAACCAGGCCCACCTCTATTCAACCCAGGGGACCTAGTACTGGTAAAGGTACTTCCTTACCTTTCTCTCTCAATATGCCCTGGTTGGGAGGGACCTTGCACTGTACTTCTTTTCACTCCTGTGGTGGTGAAGGTCAAGGTCACCAGAATAGACTCTTGGATTCATTATACTCAAGTAAAGGCCTGGGAAGCCAACAGAGTCACCTCTTTCAACCTAGAGGAGCATCCAAAATACCATTGTGAAGAGATCAGGGTACTCAAACTAAAAATCACAAAAGGTTAGTGTTAATTAACATTTCATGTATGTCCTCTTTGTAGTCTTGCCTATGCTTGTGGTTCTTACCTTTGTTCTGTTCTATACCACGGGGTACAATAGTGTTTTCAGGGTAATTAGTATATTTTACTTCTTATTTCTGTAATCTTTGGCACTAGATTCTTTCCTTGTATAATACACAATTTTAACCCATGCCTACTTAATCTTATAAAACTTTTTTTTTCCTCTCTCACTTAGAGGTTATCAAACTCAAGATGATCAGGCAATCAGAGCCTCAGATGATGGCTCCCTTTTGTCAGGGACCTTTAGATAGACGTCTGGGAGGAATCTGACTGACATTTTCCCCAAAAAAACTCCCCCTGTCAGCAGGAAGTAGCTAAGACTTGTCATCGTCCATATTCTAAAGGCAGTTAGATGTGCCTCTTCAGAGGAGGGGAATGATAATGACAGGAGACAGTGACACACTGGGTAAAAAAAGGGTGACTCCCCAACAAAGACCCCACCCTCAAGCCTGAAGACCTGTGGCCCTAAATGAGAAAAGACATTTCTGTTTTCATGACCAAAAAGTTGCCTTTTGTTCTGCCACAACCCCTATCCTGCAACCATATAAACCTTGAACCCCAGGCTCCAGAAGCAGACCAGCAGACTAGCAGACAAGCAGATGGACAGTGGAACGACGTGGCAGAGAGAGAGAGAAGAGGAGGAACATCTGAACACTGAGGGGAGTTTGCCCAGGGGCGATCGGAGAAGATACCAGCTACTGGATGGCCCGCCTCCAAGGGAAGATCACCTTCCCACTCCATTTCCCTTTCCAGTCCCCAATCCATCTCACTGAGAGCCACCTCCACCACTCAATAAAATCTTGCACTCATCCTTCAAGCCCACATGTGATCTGATTCTTCCAGGATGCTGGGTGAAAGCTTGGGATACAGAAAGCTGTCACACAGGCCCTCTGCCCTTAGGATAAGGCAGAGGGTCCATTGAGCTGATTAACACTCAAGCCACCTGCGTATGCAAAACTGAAAGAGTTTTGTAACACCAGGATTACAGGCACCCATCCCTAGACTCTACTGAACAGCTGGAGCCCAAAGCACTCACCCCAGCCTCTGAACCTGCCCATCTGCATGCTCCCCCTAGGGGTTTGAGCAGTGGGGCAACCAAACAGGTGAGCCACACCCCTGTCATGCATCCTGTGAGGGGGATCAGGGGACTCTCCCGTTTCAAAGGGGTGCAGAGTGGAGGCCATGTACAGGCACTAAGGACAGTGCATGGGCTTCTCTGCATATTTGAGGCCTCTCTCTTAGTGCTCAGGGGACCCTTCCCCTGCCCCCTTTTCCAGCTGCCCTGGGTGCTAGCAGTAGGAGGAGGCTGTCTGTGACTGCTGGATCTTTCTGTCACTTTGGATCATCACAGCACTCTATGAGTTGTACAGAGAGTAAATCCCCATTCCATACTTCAGTCAGCTGAGGATGACAGGGGTTACATGGATTGCCAGAATTACCAGAAATCTTCTTTCCAGCTCAGTCCTCTGCTAGAACCTTCCCAGAGTCAGAGGAACATGCTTATTCTACCTGTACATGAAGACAAGGGAATGCACAAATTAATTTACTAATCATGGATATATTTCAAAATCGCTTATAATGTCAGAATCTAAGGGACAGCTCAGCCACATGAAGGGGATGGAAGTTGAGGCTTTTCTTTGCTGAGGCAGCCAGCAAACTAAGCAAATATGTGTGTATGCATTATATACATATATATACACACACATATATTGTGTGCTGTATGTTTACATACATATATATTACATTGATGCCTCTCTAATAATGCCATTTTATTTTTAAAAAGAATAACACTGTAAATATATTTCTGTTGCCTAGAAATAGCATCCAATTTGCCTTAAAAATCACATTACTTGTTTTTATTTTCATTTTTGCCAATGCAGCCTTGTCACCCTTCTTTCTGCCCTGAACATTTTGAACCTTCCAAACCCCAGAGAAATACATCATGCTTTACTGAGGTTTTGAGGAGAGGGAGAGAGGTTTTCCCATTCTGCACCTTGGAGGAATTGAAACTGGCAGGTGGCAGCAACTGTCTTCAAAGAAATAGGCTCAGGAACACACACGTGCAGACACACACACACACATTCTCTTACTTTGCACCAATAAGATCATACTGCATATACTGTTCTACAATTAGTGTTTTCTCTTACATATGCCAGCCATCTTTTCAGATTGACACATAGGGATATAATTGTAACTATAGTCTTTTCTTGGAGTTTGTTTGTTTTTACTTCTGGTAATATATTCTTTACTATCTTTTTAATTTAAAAAATGTTATTTTTGACACAATTATTTTACATACATATGGGCACAGTGGACTATTTTGATACATGTATGTAACGTGCAATGATGAAATCAAGGTAAGCAGCATATTCATCACCTCAAAAACTTACTGTTTTGTGTTGATAACATTCAAAATCCTCTCTTTTAGCTATTTGAAAGTATACATAATTTTTTTGTTGGCTATGGTCACCCTACAGCGCTAAAGAAGGCTACAACTCATTTCTCCTATCTAGCTGTAATTTTGTACCCATTGCCCCACCTTTCCCATTTCTCATTCCCCTTAATCTTCCCAGCCTCTAATATATTCTGTTCTACTGTTTACTTACTGTTCTATGTTTACTTCTATGAGATTAACTAAGTTTTCTTAGCATCCACAAATGAGTGAGAACATGCTGTGTTTAATTTTCTTTTCCTGGCTTTATTTCACTTAACATAATGGCTCACCCATGTTGCTATGAATGGCAGAATTTTATTCTTTCTTATGGATGAACTGTATTCCATTGTGTTTAGTTACTACATGTTTTAAATCCATTCATTCACTGATAGACACTTAGGTTGATTCCATATCTTGGCTATTATGAATAGCTCCGCAATAAACATAGGAGGGTAGATACCTCTTTAACATACTGGGTTCCTTTTCTTTGAATACCCAGTAGTGGGATTGCTAGATTATATGATAGTTCTAGTTTTAGGTTTTCAAGAAAGCTTCATTTTGCTTTCCATAATGGCTGTAGTACTTTCCATTTCCACCAACAGTGTATGAGTTCCCTTTTCTCTGCACCCGCACCAGTATTTATTCTTTTTTGTCTTATTGATAAAAGCCAGTCTACCTGGGGTGAGATAATTTATTTTGGTTTCATTTGCATTTATCTTAGGAATAAAGATATTGAGTGTCATTTATATACGTGGCCATTTTTATGTCTTCTTTTGAGAAGTGTCTGTTCAGATCATTTGCCTATTTTTAAATTGGATTATTTGAATGTTTTGCTGTGGAATTGTTTGAGTTCCTTTTATATTCAGGATATTAATCCCTTATTGGATGAATAGCTTGTGGATATTTCTCCCACTCTGCAGGCCGTCTCTTCACTCAGTTGATTGTTTTCTTTTCTGTGCAGAAGCTTTTTAGTTTGATATAACCATATTGGCTTATTTTTGGTTTTTGTTCCCAGTACTTTTGAGGTCTCTCCATAAAATCTTCATCCAGACCAATATCCTGAAGCACTTCTCCTATGCTTTTTCCTACTAGTTTCATACCTTTGGGTCTTATGTTTAAGGCTTTAATCCATTTCATGTTTTTTTTTAATGTATAAGAGATAGGGGTCTAGTTTCATTCTTCTGCATATGAATATTCAGTTTTCCCAGCACCATTTATTGAACATTTATTGTCCTTTCCCCCAATGTATGTTATTGGTGCCATTGCCAGAAATCAGTTGGCTATAAATATGTAAATTTATTTCTGTGTTCTCTATTCTGTTCCATTGGTCTATGCATCTGTTTTTATACGAGTACTATGCTGTTTTGGTTATCATAGATTTGTAGTACATTATGAAGTCAGGTAATGTGATGCCTTCAACTTTTCATTTTTTGCTCAGGATTACTTTGACTACTTGGTGTTTTATAGTTCCACACAAACTTTATGATTTTTTTCTTTTTCATTTTTTTAAAATAAACATGGGTATCGGGGGAACCCACCCCCAATAATTCAACATGAGTCCTTTTCTATTTTCCCTAAGTGTCGGCCAGTCTGAGAAATAAAAGGAAAAAGTACAAAAGAGAAATTTTTAAAGCTGGGTGTCCGGGGGAGACATCACATGTTGGCAGGTTCTGTGATGCCCCCTGAGCTGTAAAAGCAGCAAGTTTTTATTAGCAATTTTCAAAAGTGAGGGAGTGTAGGAGTAGGGTGCGGGTCACAGAGATCACATGCTTCAAGGGCAACAAAAGATCACAAGGCAGAAGGTCAGGGCAAAACTAGAATCACTAATGAACTTCCATGTCCCGCTGTGCACGCATTGTCAGGGTTCAAGGGCAGAGAACTGGTCTGACTAGAATTCGCCAGGCTGGAATTTCCTAAATCCTAGCAAGCCTGGGGATGCTGCAGGAGACTAGGGCGTGTTTCATCCCTATCTACATCTGCATAAGGCAGACATTCTCAGGGCGGCCATTTTAGAGGCCCCCCCGGGAATGCATTCTTTTCCCAGGGCAGTAAATTATTAATATTCCTTACCGAAATAATTCAGTTATATTTATCTTATCCGTTTTCGGTAATAAGAGAAATATGGCTCTGTCCTGCCCAGCCCACAGGCAGCCAGACTTTAAGGTTATCTCCCTTGTTCCCTGAAAATCGCTGTTACCCTGATCTTAAGGTTCCCAGATTTCATATTGTTCAAACACACATGCTCTACAAACAATTTGTGCAGTCAATGCAATCATCACATGGTCCTGAGGGGATATACATCCTCAATTTACAAAGACGACGAGATTAAGAGATTAAAGTAAAGACAGGCATAGGAAATCACAAGAGTATTGATTGCGGAAGTAATAAATGTCCATGAAATCTTCACAATTTATGTTCTTCTGCCATGGCTTCAGCCGGTCCCTCCGTTCGGGGTCCCTGACTTCCTGCAACACATGGGGTCTCGCTATGTTGGCCAGGTTGGTCTTGAATTTTTGACCTCAAGCAATCCTTCTGCCTCAGCCTCCCAAGTGCTAGGATTATAGGCGTGAGCCACCACACCTGTCCAGGATTATTTTTTCTTGTTCTGTGAAGAATGTCATCGGTATTTTAATAGGGATGGCATTGAATCTGTAGATCACTTTGGGTAGTAAGGTCATTTTTATCAATATTAATTCTTCCAAGCTTTGAACATGAGATGTCTTTCCATTTTTTTGTATCCTCTTCAGTTCTTTTTCTTTAGTGTTTTCTGTTTTTTTGTATCCTCTTCAGTTTTTTTCTTCAGTGTTTTATAGTTTTCCTAGTAGAGATTCTTCACTCCTTCATTCAACTTACTCCTAGATATTTCACTTTTTGTAGCCATTGTAAATCGGACTGATTTTTTTATTTCTTTCTCAGCTAGCCCATTATTGATTTATAGAAATGCTACTGATTTTTGCATGTTGATTTTGTATTTTGCAACTTTACTGAATTCATTTACTAGATTTAAGTGTTTTTTGGTGGAGTACTTAGAATTTTCTATATACAAGATTGTGTTGTCTGCAAACAGGGATAATTTTATTTCCTCCTTTCCAATTTGGATACTCTTTATTTCTTTCTCTTGACTGGTTGCCCTGGCTTGAATTTCTAATACTATCTTGAATAAGAGTAGTGAAAGTGGGCATCCTTGTCTTGTACAAGATCTTAGAGGAAAAGCTTTAAAATTTTCCCCATTCAGTATGATGGTAGCTGTGCATTTGTCATATATGGCCTTAACTGTTTTGAAATACATTCCTTCTACACCTGATTTGTTGAGCATTTTTATGATAAAGGATGTTAAATTTTTTCAAATGCTTTTTCTGCATCTGTTGAGATGATTACGTAGTTTTCTCCTTCATTCTGTTGATGTAAAATGTATCACATTAATTGATTTACCTAAGTTGAACCCTGAAAACCTATCCAGTTGTCTCATAGAGTTGATGTTTATAGTTTCTTTGAATAAGCATAGAAACTGATCCTCCTAGTCTTAAAAACTTGAAAAAGTTACGTTTATCTTATCTGAGTTCCTTTCTTGGGAAAACAACCATCAGCTCTCCCAGACAGTATTAAGGAGTTGAAACTCACCAGATCACTGCATTTGGATGAGACATCAGACTTATTACCTGTCATGACTGCTTAACTGACCACCTGCTTCCTGTTGACCACTCCTCTTTTTTAGCCCTCCCTGATTCCTGTTATCCCACACATGGTTACATTTCTTCACTGCTATATAACCTAATTTTAGCAGGTCAGGGAGATGGATTTGAGACTGATCACCCATCTCTTTGGCAGCAGAACTCAATTGAAGCCCTTTTCCTTGGCAATGCTCATTGTCTCAGTGATTGGTTTTCAGTGTGGCGAGCAGCGGGACTTAGACTGAACCCCTGGTGTTGTGGTAACGTTGTGTCTTTGTCTGGTTTTGGTATCAGGATAATGGTAGCCCCATGGAATGAGTTTGGAAGAATTTCTCCCCCTTCAATTTTCTTAAATAGCTTGAAAATAATTGGTGTTATTTCTTCTTTAAAAGTTTGGTAGAATTCAGCAGTGAAGCCTTCCAGTCCCAGAGTTTTCTTTGATGGGAGATTTTTGTTACTGATTAAACCTCATTACTCATTTCTAGTTGTTCAGGCTTTCCATTTCTTCCTGGTTTCATCTTAGTAGGTTGTATGAATCCAGAAATTTATCCATTTCCCCTAGGCTTTCCCATTTGTTGATACATAGTTGTTTATAGAAGTCTTTAATGATCCTTTGTCTTTCTGTGGTATCAGTTATAATGTCTCCTTTCTTGTTTCTGATTTTTGTATAGGTCTTCTCTCTTTTTTTCTTACATTTTCTAGCTAATGGTTTGCGAATTATGTTTATTTGTTCACAAACCCAACTTTTCAGCTGGGCATCGTGCCTCATGCATGTAATTCCAGCACTGAGGTTAAAGCAGAAGGATCATTTGAGGCCAGGAGTTTGAGACCAGCCTGGGAAACACAGCAAAAACTTGTCTTTGAAAAACTAAAAAAAAAATCTTAGCCTTGTGTGATGACACATGCCTGTAGTACCAGCTACTCAGAAGACTGAAGCAAGAGGATCACTTGAGCACAGGAGTTGAAGGCTGCAGTGAGCCATGATCATGCCACTGCACTCCATCCTGGGTGACAGTGCAAGATCTTGTCTCAAACAAACAAACAAAAAATTCCCCAACTTTTCATTTTGTTGATATTTTGTACTACTTTTTTACTCTACTTTTTGTTTATTTCCACTCCTTTTTTTTTTTTTTTTTTTGAGATGGAGTCTCACTGTGTTGCCCAGACTGGAGTACAATGGTCCAATTTTGGCTCACCATAACCTCTGCTTACCGGGTTCAAGCGATTCTCCTGCCTCAGCCTCAGGAGTAGCTGGGATTACAGGTGTCCGCCACCATGTCCAGCTAATTTTTTTGTATTTTTAGTAGAGACAGGGTTTCAACATGTTGGTCAGGCTGGTCTCAAACTCCCGACATCAGGTGATCCACTCACCATGGCCTCCCAAAGTGCTGGGATTACAGGTGTGAGCCACAGCGCCCAGCCTCTGCTCCAACTTTTAAAATTTCTCTCTTTTTACTAATTTGGGGTTTGGCTTTTTTCTTGCTTTTCTAGTTCCTTAAGATGCATTTTAGTTTTTATCTGAAATCTTTCTACTTTTCTGATGTAGGCATGTAATGTTATAAATTTCCCTCTTACCACTGCTTGTGTTGTCTACCATAGGTTTTGGTATGTTGTGCTTCCATTTTCATTTGTTTTGAGAAATTTTTAAATTTCCTTCTTACTCCATTGTGGTCAAAAAAGTTCTTGATATCATTTTAATATTTTCATTCATTGATTCTTACTTTGTAGCCTAAAACAATGTATCCTGGAGAATGTTCCATGTGCTGATAAGAAGAATGGGTATTCTGTAGCTGTCAGATGAAATATTCTGCAAATGTCTGTTAGGTCCGTTTGGTCTGCAACACAGTTTAAACCAACTTTTTTTTGTTGATGTTCTGTCTAAATGATCTAACACTGCAGAGAGTAAACTGTTGAAGTCCCCAATTATTATTGTATTGGAGTCTGTCTCTCCTTTTACATCTAATAATATTTGTTTTTATCTTGGTGTTCTGGTGTTGGGTGCATATATATTTACAGTTGTCATATCCTTTTGATGAAGAGAAGAGTGTGGACATTCAGGTCTTCGGAAAGGAATGATGGTTGCCTTTTCTGATGTTTCTGAATGGCCCAGAGATGACAGAAGTATACACGATCCACTCCTAATGACTTAGGAAAGCAAGGTCTCTGCCTAATCTTGCTTTCTATTGAATCCCAGAAAATTGCACCATTTCTGGCAATAAGTAATTGTTAAATAGATTAATGAATAAATGGATGAGAGCCTAGAAGAGAATTTGGAAAACTAGGATTGGGGGAGGGACAAACGACACAGAGGCAGAGATGGAGAGGCTGCAGAGAGCCTGATGGCAGACAGCCCAGGTGAGGGAGGTGGCTTAGAGACAAAGTGATCAGAGGCCTGACCCAGACTCCTCTGCTCTCAGCCCTCAGTCTTCAGGGCTCCATACCGGCAGTGGGAGAGAAGGTCTTCTTCACAAACAGGCAGTTGGTCTATTTAGATGCCATTAGTGAGGCATGTGCCAGAGCAGGCAGCTGCATTGCTGTCCCTAGGAGTCCAGAGGAAAACGAGGCCATTGCAAGATTTTTGAAGAAGTACAACATGTATGCCTACATGGCCCTGGCCAAGGGTCCCAGCCCTGGAGACTTCTGCTACCTAGATGAGGCCCCTGTGGACTACACGAACCGGTGCCCAGGGGAGCTCATAGGTCAGGGCAATGAGAAGTGCTTGGAGATGTACACAGTGGAATGACAGGAGCTGCCTGCGGTACTGACTGATCATCTGTGAGTTCTGAGAGGAATTTATGCCACAGGACAGGGAGGATCCTGTCTGGCCTTCAGCCTCCATCCTGAAGCTCCACTTGGTTTGTGAGATGCTGAAACTCCCTTTCAACAGAATTCACTTGTGGCTATTAGAGCTGGAGGCACCCTTAGCTACTTCATTCCCCTGATGGGCCCTGACTCTTCCCCATAATCACTGACCAGCCTTGACACTCCCCTTGCAAACCCTCCCAGCACTGCACCCCAGGCAGCCACTCCTAACCTTTGCCTTTGGCATGAGATGCAACCCTCCTTATTCTCTATCTGGTCCAGTTCCTTCACTTACAGATGGTAGCAGTGAGGTCTTGGGGTAGAAGGACCCTCCGAAGTCACACAGAGTGCCTGCTTCCTGGTGCCCTTAGCTCTCCCTCTGCAGCCCAGTGCCATCAGGATGAGCAGTCCCAGCCAAGCATAATGACAGAGAGAGGCAGACTTCAGAGAAGTCCTAACTGTGTGGAGCTAAGGACACAGTGGAGATTCTCTGGCACTCTGAGGTCTCTGTGGCAGGCCTGGTCAGGCTCTCCAGGTGGTCAGAGGGCCCAGTGGTGCCCCAGAATGGTGGTGCCCAAGCCAACCCTGTGACTGACATGTACGATTCACTCCTTTGAGTCTTTGGATGCCAACTCAGTCCCCTGACCTGAAGGCAGCTGGCCTATGCCTCTAGGGAAGAGCCCCCCACTGCAGACGTGATCCAAGTAATTTTCTGCTGATGGACGAATCTGCACCCTACTTGAGACTTCAGTGGGCATTCACACCACCCCCCACACCACCGGCTCCACTTTCCCCTTTCATTAATCTATTCACCCAGATAATCATTAAAATTAACATGGGCCAGGTCTTAGGATGTGTCTTGAGGTAGGCAAGCTAACTGGTGACTCTTGGGGATTTTTTTCCCTGAGCCTATGTCTTCATCTATAAAATGGGGATAAAATACTTGTTGTTGTCACAATTATTACCATTACCCTCAGCTAGCAAAATTACCACCAGAGCCGTTACTACACACAGAGGCTATTGACTGAGCACATACCATGTGCCACACACCTTGACAAGCAATTCTAATATAGCTTATTACGTATTATTCAATCTTCACACAATGTCATGGGGCCAGTATTGTTTTCCCCATTTTTTTTATAAGGACACTGAAGCTTGGAGGAGTGAAATGTTTTGAGTATTATTCTAGAGAGCAAGTGGCAGAGGCTGGATCCAAACCAATCTTCCTGGATCTGAAGCTCATACTCCCAGCCACCCCAGCCCTGAGCTGAACAAAGAAGACTTAAATGTATGTAATAAATCGTCAATATTTTCATATGTGTTTCCTCTGTTCTGGTTCCAAGAAATATCACATTTCTGTATTTTTGTAAGTCAAATGAACCCTGGCTCTGAGCCCCCACTTTCCTCAAGATTGGAAAATTCAATCTCAAGATGTGCTTTCTTTGTTTGATGGGAGGGGCCAACTGCTCTCCTCCCTGAGATGGTGCAGGAGAATGGGGAGCTACAGACACCATTTGGAAGAACACATGGGCATCATGAATCCACATGGTCCATTTGTGGGTGGGGATACCATGCCTTCTGTCCTCCACACAGCTACCTGAATGATTTCTGCAGCCCAGCAGTGATGGTGGTACTCAGGGCTCAGTCCCAGGCCTCAGTGAGTCATCCTAATTTCAGGTCAGCATGGAATGGGACCACACTCCCATACCCCAGGGCTGTGCAGGAATGAGACCATGTCCCTACTTGCTTGAGGAGGCAGCTACATATGTGTCCCACCTCCCACTTCTCTCCTGTAACACTGTCCCAGAAAGGCTCCCACTTCTCCACCCTCAACGCCTGTGAACACTCTTCTTTGGCATTTATGCTTTTCTTGGGTGGAAGGAAGCTCTGAATCAACACTCAGAAAACCAATGAGAATAAGGGGAACAATTTCTCAGTCTTTTATGAATGAAAAATTTTAATCTGATCACCATTCTGCATGCACTTAGGATGCAGCACACAAATTATTGAGGCCTCCCCCAAATTATTTTAAAAAGAAGAAGAAGGATATACAGATATTCCTTGACTTATGATAGGGTTATATCATGATAAATACAGTGTAAGATGAAAATATCATAAGTTGGGAATGCATTTAATACACCTAACCTATCAAAAATCATAGCTTAACTTAAACTACCTTAAACATGCCCAGAACACTACATTAGCCTGCAGCTGGGCAAAATCATCTAATACATGGCCTATTTTATAATAAGGTATTGACTATCTCATGGACTTTATTGAATACTGTACTGGAAGTGAATGAATAATTGTATGTGTACTCGAAGTGTGGCTTCTACTGAATTCACATCACTTTTGAACCATTGTAAAGTTGATAAATTGTAAGTCAAACCATCAAAAATCCAGGACCGTGTATAGTCCCAATTTTATAGACAAATACTTCAAGCCTCTGAAAATTGATATCTTCTTGTTTCTTATTAGTATTATTTTTACTTTCTTTATGCTTTTATTTGCTATTGTTACTATTTTTATTAGATTTTAAATTAATTATTGCTGATTTGTTAAAAAAAAAACTCTTAATTTCTGTTTGTTGATCTTATACCCAACCATCTTTTGGATTCTCATTTTCCCCCAATACTTCTAATATAACTGATTCTGTTATATGTATATATATTTTATTATACTTTAAGTTCTAGGGTACAGGAGCACAACGTGCAGGTTTGTTACATAGGTATACATGTGCCATGTTGGTTTGCTGCACCCCTCAACTCGTCATTTACATTAGGTATTTCTCCTAATGCTATCCCTCCACCAGGCCCCCACCCCGCAACCGGCCCCAGTGTGTGACGTTCCCCACATTGTGTCCATGTGTTCTCATTGTTCAACTCCCACCTATGAGTGAGAACATGCGGTGTTTGGTTTTCTGTCCTTGTGATAGCTTGCTCAGAATGATGGTTTCCAGCTTCATCCATGTCCCTGCAAAGGAAATGAACTCATCCTTTTTTATGGCTGCATAGTATTCCATGTTGCATATGCACCACATTTTCTTAATCCAGTCTATCATTGATTGACATTTGGGTTGGTTCTAAGTCTTTGCTATTGCGAATGGTGCTGCAATAAACATATGTGTGCATGTGTCTTTATAGTAGCATGATTTATAATCCTTTGGGTATATGCCCAGTAATGGGATTGCTGGGTCAAATGGTATTTCTAGTTCTAGATCCTTGAGGAATCGCCACACTGTCTTCCACAATGGTTGAACTAATTTACACTCCCATCAACAGTGTAAAAGCATTCCTGTGTCTCCACATCCTCTCCAGCACCTGTTGTTTCCTAACTTTTTAATGATCACCATTCTAACTGGCATGAGATGGTATCTCATTGTGGTTTTGACTTGCATTTCTCTGATGACCAGTGATGATGAGCATTTTTGCATATGTCTGTTGGCTGCATAAATGTCTTCTTTTGAGAAGTGTCCATTTATATCCTTTGCCCACTTTTTGATGGGGTTGTTTGTTTTTTTCTTGTAAACTTGTTTAAGTTCTTTGTAGATTCTGGATACTAGCCCTTTGTCAGATGGGTAGATTGCAAAAATTTTCTCCCATTCTGTAGGTTGCCTGTTCACTGTGATGATAGCTTCTTTTGCCATGCAGAAGCTTTTTAGTTTAATTAGATCCCATCTGTCAGTCAATTTTGGCTTTTGTTGCCATTGCTTTTGGTGTTTTAGTCATGAAGTCTTTGTCCATGCCTATGTCCTGAATGGTATTGCCTAGGATTTCTTCTAGGGTTTTTATGGTGTTAGGTCTCACATTTAAGCCTTTAATCCATCTTGAGTTAATTTTTGTATAGTATAAGGAAGGGATCCAGTTTCGGCTTTCTACATATGGCTAGCCAGTTTTCCCAGCACCATTTATTAAATAGGGAATCCTTTCCCCATTGCTTGTTTTTGTCAGGCATATCAAAGATCAGATGATTGTAGATATGTGGTGTTATTTCTGCGGTCTTTGCTCTGTTCCATTGGTCTATCTATCTGTTTTGGTACCAGTACCATGCTGTTGTGGTTACTGTAGCCTTGTAGTATAGTTTGAAGTCTGGTAGCATGATGCCTCCAGCTTTGTTCTTTTTGCTTAGGATTGTCTTGGCAATGCCTTCTCTTTTTTTGTTCCATATGAACTTAAAGTAGTTTTTTCCAATTCTGTGAAGAAAGTCAGTGGTAGCTTGATGGGGATAGCATTGAATCTATAAGTTACTTTGGGCAGTGTGTCCATTTTCACGATATTGATTCTTCCTATCCAGGAGCATGGAATGTTCTTCCATTTGTTTGTGTCCTCTTTTATTTTGTTGAGAAGTGGTTTGTAGTTCTCCTTGAAGAGGTCCTTCACATCATCTGTAAGTTGGATTCCTAGGTATTTTGTTCTCTTTGTAATAATTGTGAATGGGAATTCACTCATGATTTGCCTCTCTATTATTGACGTATAGGAATGCTTGTGATTTTTGCACATTGATTTTGTATCCTGAGACTTTGCTGAAGTTGCTCATCAGCTTAAGGAGATTTTGGGCTGAGACAATGGGGTTTTCTAAATATGCAATCATGTCATCTGCAAACAGAGACAATTTGACTTCGTCTTTTCCTAATTGAATACCCTTTATTTCTTCCTCTTGCCTGATTGCCCTGGCCAGAATTTCCAACACTATGTTGAATAGGAGTACTGAGAGAGGGCAAGCTTGTCTTGTGCCAGTTTTCAAAGGGAATGCTTCCAGTTTTTGCCCATTCAGTATGATATTGGCTGTGGGTTTGTCATAAATAACTCTTATTATTTTGAGATACATTCCATCAATACCTAGTTTATTGAGAGTTTTTAGCATGAAGGGCTGTTTTTGTTGAAGGCTTTTTCTGAATCTATTGAGATAAACATGTGATTTTTGTCATTGGTTCTGTTTATGTGATGGATTATGTTTATTGATTTGCATATGTTGAACCAGCCTTGCATCCCAGGGATGAAGCCGACTTGATCATAGTGGATAAGCTTTTTGATGTGCTGCTGGATTCAGTTTTCCAGGATTTTATTGAGGATTTTTGCATCAATGTTCATCAGGGATATTGGCCTAAAATTCTCTTTTGTGTGTGTGTGTCTCTACCAGGCTTTGGTATCAGGATGATGCTGGCCTCACAAAATGAGCTAGGGAGGATTCCTTCTTTTTCTATTGATTGAAATAGTTTCAGAAGGAATGGTACCAGCTCCCCTTTGTACCTGTGGTAGAATTCGGCTGTGAATCTATCTGGTCCTGGACTTTTTTTGGTTGGTAGGCTATTAATTATTGCCTCAATTTCAGAGCCTGTTATTGGTCGATTCAGAGATTCAACTTCTTACTGGTTTAGTCTTGGGAGGGTGTATGTGTCCAAGAATTTATCTATTTCTTTTAGATTTTCTAGTTTATTTGCGTAGAGGTGTTTATAGTATTCTCTGATGGTAGTTTGTATTTCTGTGAGATCGGTGGTGATATCCCTTTTATAATTTTTATTGCATTTATTTGATTCTTCTCTCTTTTCTTCTTTATTAGTCTTGCTAGTGGTCTATCTATTTTGTTGATCTTTTCAAAAAACCAGCTCCTGGATTCATTGATTTTTTGAAGGGTTTTTTGTGTCTCTATCTCCTTCATTTCTGCTCTGATCTTAGTTGTTTCTTGACTTCTGCTAGCTTTTGAATGTGTTTGCTCTTGCTTCTCTAGTTCTATTTTTATTATTATTATGCTTTAAGTTTTAGGGTACATGTGCACAACGTGCAGGTTTGTTACATATGTATACATATGCCATGTTGGTGTGCTGCACCAAATGCACTGTTTTGGTTATCTCTTGTAAAATTCTGACATTTGGACCCAGCAGATGGACTGATTTTATGGAGCATGGGGAGAAGAGGAGGAAGGACAAAGCTGTGACCAGGAGTGTTCTGGGGCAATGTGGATTGCAGCACCGTGGACTGAGTCTCCTAGGGGGCTGTGTGAATGCCAGTATCACAGGAGCTGCCTGGGGTTCACACCCTACTCATGAGCAAGTTGCTTCCTGGAACTCAGGGATCCCAGCAACAAGATATTATGGACTGAAATGTGTACTGGTGCAATGGTGAGGGTAAGGGACATGCAGCTAGAGGCAATCATTGAGTCTCTTTCCTGAAGAACCAGCTGCTGAAAGGAGCTGTCATTTGTAATCAGTCACACAAAGGTCCCCAACAACCAGTCAGTGTGGGCTGAGAGGCAGTAGTGTACCTACTGACATGTGGTTCCTCTTGTGAGCAGATATTGCCCAACATTGGCACCAACAGCATTCTCTCTACCCCCTGCACATGCAAAGAAATAAGAGAGCAGGCCACTGCACACCCTTCACTTCAAGAAGCAACAGCTTCAATCTGAGCCACAACTCTATGGCCTGAGTGGTGAAATGACAAAACTGGAGGACAATGTCATCTGTTTGGACTGTGTTTGAAATCAACCCTAGAAAGTTTGCATTACAGGAGTCTGGGAAAAAAATGTATGAAGAATTTTCAGACCATGTACTAGTTTTGGGAACAGGCTTCAAGCTTCAAGATTGCACGGATCTGAATTAGGCTCTTAATAAAACCTGTTATTTATTAAACTGTGATTTGCATCGATTTATTTTTTGATGTTGTGCCATCCTTGCATCCCTTGGATATACCCGACTTGGTCTGATGCTATATATGCTCATCACACATCCTATGGGCCAGGCACTATACTAGTTAAACTTATTAACCCTATTTTACAGATGTTATTATTCTCCCCTATTTACAAATAAGAATGTCAAGGGATATAGAGGTTAAAGTGATTTGCCAAATATTATGCAGCTAGTTCTTGGGCCAATGAATGTAGGAAGTCAGATTCCAGAGACTGCTATTAACCATGAATACAGGGCTGGACTTTACTGTTGTAAGCGCTTGAGAGGGAAATTTACTGTTGTGTTAGCTGACTGATACAATATCAATGATTAATACAAAAGGTATAAGAAATTAACAGATCAGCCCAGGCACAGTGGCTCATGACTGTAATCCCAGCACTTTTAATAGTTATTTTTTAAATTGTGTTTTTGCCTCTCTGCTTATAAATTAGATTTTCTAAAAGTTCCCTTCTTTTCTTCAATCCTTATCCATTCTGAATTACATGTTCAGCTAATCATCTCAGCTAAGTAGTATTTTGGATACAAGCCATTTCTATAAGAGAGTAGTAATTTCTTCTCTGAAGATTTGATACAACTCACCTTAAAACCATTTTGTTGATGGAGGTATGGTTGTTAATTTTTGACTTCCATTTCTATATTTTATGATTAGTGATATATCAATTACTCTGATATATCAGTTATTCTTGAGCCAACTTAAATAATACTAAACTTTCTTATAATATAGATTTTACCAATTTTCCATATGTTGCTATAAAATTAACTGTACATAGTGTGATTTTATAATGTCAGTACTATCTGTACTAGTATAATAATCCCTTTTCCCCCTGATTTGTTTGTTGTTGTTGTTGTTTGTTTGTTTGTTTGAGATGGAGTCTCGTTCTGTAGCCCAGGCTGGAGTACAGTGGCACGATCTCGGCTCACTGCAACTTTCCCTCCCAGATTCAAGCAATTCTCCTGCCTCAGCCTCCCAAGTAGCTGGGATTACAGGCATGCACCACCATGTCCAGTTAATTTTTGTATTTTTAGTAGAGATGGGGTTTCACCATGTTTGCCAGGCTGGTCTTGAACTCCTGACCTCAGGTGATCTGCCTGCCTCGGCCTCCCAAAGTGCTGGGATTACAGGAGTGAACCACTGTGCCTGGGCTGATTTGTTAATTTCTTATACCTTTTCTATTAATCATTGATATTGTATCAGTCAGCTAACACAACAGTAAATTTCCCTCTCAAGAGCTTACAACAGTAAACGTTTTATTTTCTGCTCTGGATCTTCCAGTTTGTTGAGCTTTGGCTGATTTCAGCTGAGTGGGCCTGGATTCAGCAGCAGTCAGCTGGACTCCAGACTTTCAGGTGAATTCATGACTGTTCCATATCACTTTCCAGGGATACATACTTCTCATGATTGGGAAAGAAACACAAAGGCCATAGCAAACCTGTAAGCACACGTTAAGCTGCTGCTCCCTTCGTTTCAGCTCAGGGTCACATGGCCACACCAAACAGCAAAGGGGCTGGAGTGTTTACTCCTCACACTCCAGTGGGAGCCTTTGTGAAGTCCTATGGCAAAGGGCCTGAGATGTAATTTTACAACATGGAGGAAACAACCCAAACTACCATGGCCATATCTGCTAAGTTTATGTCTCTTACAAAGAACCAGTATTCTATTTTATTAGCTCTATAGTTATTTTTGTTTATTAATTTAATTATATAATTTTCATTCATTCCTTCATTATACCCTCTTTTGAAGTGCATATTAATTTATCTGTCAGGTAGGGTCCACACTCCTTGTAGGGCTATTTCTGAGGTTTGTCATATCTATCAGCTCTCACTCTGTTTGTCCCCTACTATATTTGGTAATTGTCCCATGGTGAACTCAAATCTGCCTGGCCTCCATCTGAGACACCACTGAGGTGCCTGGGCTACGGGTGTGATTCTCCACTGCGTTTATGTCTCCACAGTGCGGGAGATCATGCCACGCTGAGACACTGGAAACATAATTTTTCATCTTGGCATAAATAGCAGAATTCTGTAATAGTCGTAATAGCAACATAAATTCATCCCCAGGTCTATGAGAGGACAGACCTATGGGTACACATCCTTGGGGGATAATCTTATCCCCTCCAGAATCCAGGCTTTCTCAGGTTCCTTTGCTCCTAGGTGTATTTACTTCCTGTCTACCCTCTTCCCGCTCAAACCACCCTTTCTCTAACTCTGCAGCACAGTTAGCATACTGGTTCAACGCAAATCTGTCAGTTTCACATTCCCACCTTCCTCAGAGGTCTGCCTATTTGCTGAGCGAATTGAAAGTCCTTTGTCCTCTGGGCCTATGGGCTCTTCAACATTGTGTCAATGGCATCAGGAGACACAGCCTTGAGAGGGATCTTCTTTACCACGGAAGCACCTCTTGGTGCCTGGCAGGCCCCCTGAATGGGAACCGGGAGGGCCGCTGGACAGGGCCTGATGACATGAGTACACAAGGGTGAGGACCCTTGAGAAGCCAAAATGCCTATCACAAGGCAGAGTCACAGGGAAGTGACCCACCCCACTCCCCACCTGGGAAAAACAAACTTCTCAAGCTGTTTGGTGACATGAAGTGTTTCAAAGAATGGGTGTGAGTTTGGAGGAAGGCAAGCATCAAAGATCGTATCCGGGACCTGGGCAGCTTGACTAGGCTCTGGCGACAAGAACTGGACGCTTCTGGAAACTCAGGCCTGGACGAGCACAGATGGTCTGGTGTCTGCTTGAGGTCTCTGCCTTTCTCCTCTCCCTCGCACCCAGTCCTCCTGTGTGCCCAGCCCTGGTTTGCACCCTGGGGACAGAGAGGTGAACTGAGAATAGAAAAGTGAGATCACTGGTAAAGGGGGCACAGATGGTAGCTCCAGCCAGAGAGAAGAGGGCTGATTTGAGGACACACTGCTGGAGGATTCATTTGTTCCATAAATGTTTATTGAGTATTGACTCTGTTTCCAGGCACTCTTCTTGGTGGAGAAAGAACAGCTGGGGAACAAGACCCCTGTTCTCATGAGCTTCTCGTTCTACAGGGGTGGGGTGGGTGATCAATCAATATGCAACCAAATAAACAAAACAGACCCACATGGAAGCAGCAATCGGCAGAAAATTAGAACAGAGAATTACAACTCACTGACAGAGTGACTACTTAAAATTACCGGGTTAGCAAAGACCTTTCTCCAGAGATAATATTTAAGCTGAAAGCTGAGTGACAACAAATAAGCATGCAGAGATGCAGGGACATGTCCAGGCAGAGGGAACAGCAGGTGCCAATGCCCACATTCAGCTGTGGATTGAAGTCATCTGCAAATACCCCTTCTCCTTGTGCCTGGCCTGGTGAGATGCCCAAACAAGACATTTGCAAAGGTTCTAAATGAGCGGAGAGGAAGGAGGTGACTCAGTGCTGGGGGTCTTTAGTCTCTCACCCTGGCCCTGCAATAAACGAAACACAAATGGAAGTAGTCGATTGAACTGATACAAAGGTATGTGCACGTGCATCTGTGTGTGTGTCCCTGTACGTGTGTGTGTGCGTGTGTGTGTGTGTGCATGCGTTTGTCTGGTGGAAGATCTATGCATGCTTTTTCTGGAAATAAATATCTGGAGAAAGCTACCCTAAGAACCTGTGACTCTGGAGGCTCAGAGGTGCTTAGCTGTGGAGACAAATGCCTGGGAGGGAGCAGTGCAGGATGGGGTGAGGACACTAATGTAGAGAGCTGCCTAGCGCTGTGCTGGAGACCCAATGCATCCCAGGCAGAGATGGGTGAGACGGACCCAGTGGGGAAAAGGGAGATCCAGGTTTGGTCTGTGTCTTTCTGAATCTCCACCTCCAGCAGGTGTCTCCTCCAAATGAGGGTTTGAGTACAGACTTGGGGAGGCTCCCCTTTCATCAGGACCCATGCTACACTCAGAACAATCCCTGTAAAATGCCATTGCCTCTAAAACAAAGCTGCTCGCTGACTCTCTGGGATCCCATATTTCCACACAGGAATTGGGGATGTGTGGTTGTCCCTACAGAGGGGTGTCCCACCTGGTTAGAGAGCTGGCCTTGGTGCAGGCCCTCCCCTAGGATGCAGGATGGGGCATCTTTCTTCTTTGGGTCACCATTAGCTTGCTGGCTGTTCCGGGGGTGAACATGAATGGAGTATTGAGCTTTTTGGAAAAAAAATGACTGCTGGCCACTGGGTCATCTTCCCTTTGTCTTGCAACAGATCAAGGGCTCAGAGGTTTGCAGGGCCCTCCTGGGAAGTTGGGGCCCCCAGGAAACCCAGGGGCTCCTGGAATTCCAGGACCAAGGAGCCAAAAAGGAGATCATGGGGACAATTCAGGTAAGAGGCATACCTCAGCATGTGTGGCCTGGGAGCCCCAGGGCCTGGGGAGCTGGAGGGCCAGCTGGGAGGTCCCCTTCTCCTGCTTCTCCTGCTGCCTCGTGGGAAGGTGCTCAATTCTGCTTCCTGGCCCAGTGCCCCCGGCCCTCTCAGCTTTACCTGGGGCCTGAGGAGACTCCCATAGGTGCCCAGGTACAGACATTCAAGCCACGTAGGGCTATTCCCTCGTCAGGCCCTTTAGCAGATGGGCCCCGGCTTTTCTTCAGCGGAAACAGTCCAGTGTGCACCTCTGGGGTGCCCGGGAGGAAATAGGCCCTTTAGGGGTTGGGTTTATGTCCATTGTCACAAGAATGCATGAAAATGGTCTGCTTCTTAGGACCCCTGGCTGACAGAGAACATCACAGCAACTTAGTTCAGAGTAAAATAGAGCAAATTCAGTAAGAACAAAAGAACAATGACAACCCACTTATTCATATTTGTCTACCAGCCTGTCAAAACAATAAAGGTATTAAAAAGTGTATCTGGAATGAGAAATGAAAATGAATGACAAAGAAAAGTTTTCAGAAAGAAGAGTAATGAGTTGAGTATTTTCTTATGAATTCTTACAATATGACAATATGCAAGCCGTATGTGGAGACGGGGGTCCAGGACTGAAGTTCCAGGTTGTGAAGGGATGCGGAGGTATAGCTGGGAAGGAGGAATGTAGTCATTTTCCCCTTTTTATTTCTTCTGCATTCTTATTTTCCTGGAATAAGCATTCGTCTTAGTAAGCCACTTCATTTTTTTCAAAATGCTCCACTCTCCAAATTAAGGTCTTCTCCATAAATACCTTCTCCCTATTGCGTTGCAGTTGCTGAGGCTAAGCTGGCCAACTTGGAGAGCTACAGAGCCTGAGATCAGAACTGGACCACACGAAGAAGTGTGAGCTTTCTCTCTGCCCATAATGTGTTCTTGGCTCTCACTCTTTTCTTCAGCGCACCCTAGATTTGGAGGAGGTGGGAGGGGAACTAATTCATGAGCGCTCGTCCTACACCAGGGCCTGTGCTGGGTGGCATTTTCCCATAAGATGGTTTCATTCAATCCTCTCAGCAACCTCAGTTGTGGTTGTTGAACTTGCTTTATTGACAGGTGAGGAAACCGAGGGGCAGGAAGTGTTAGTGACTCATTTCAGGTCACACAGCCGGGAAGTGGCAGGGGAAGGGTTGGATGGAGATCTGTTGTCTCCAAAGTCTGTGCTCCTTCCTTGTCATCTACTGTGCTCTGATGTCTGTCCCTGCCTCTTCCTTATCCTGGTGCCCAAGCCTGCAGTGAGGCCCAAGACCGTCTCCCTATGTGTACCTGTGCTGGGGCAGGTTTTAGCAGATGCTTTTTCAAGGTGGGATACCCAGGGGAGTCTGGGCTGTCTGCAGGAGTCTGGATGCCCCTTCCCAGGCTCTGCAGCTGAGGCTTACTTCCTGACCAGGCTCTGGCCTGAACTGCTGGGCATAGGGTGATTTTTCAGAGGTCTGGCTTCCCAGGGAACTCAGACTGCTTGCCTACTGTCCTGTGCTGGGCTCCAAACCCAGCCAGCCTCACTCACCATTTGTGGTTTCAGTGTAAGCCTTCTCCTTGGGGAAAATGTCTGGGAAGAAGCTTTTCATGACCAACGGTGAGCGGATGCCTTTCTCCAAAGTGAAGGCTCTGTGTGCTGGGCTCCAGGCCACAGTGGCTGCCCCCAAGAATGCCAAGGAGAATAAGGCCATCCAGGATGTGGCCAAAGACACTGCCTTCCTGGGCATCACAGATGAGGCAACTGAAGGCCAGTTCATATACTTGACGGGTGGGAGGCTGACCTACAGCAACTGGAAGAAGGATGAGCCAAATGACCACGGCTCAGGGTAGGACCGCATGATTCTCCTGAAGGACAGGCTCTGGAATGACATCTCCTGCACTTCCTGCTTCCTGGCCATCTGTGAGTTTACCGCCTGAAGAGGCATGTTCCTCGGCCCCCTCCTTGGCTCCCAGCTGAACTCTCTGCTGTCCCTGCAAATTAATATGTTGAAATCTTAACTCTCCAGGTGATAATATTAGGAGATGGGGATTTGGGGAGGTAATTAGGCCACGAGGGCCTAGGCTAATGATTGGGATTAGTGTCCTTAGAGCCCCAGAAGAGATTCATAGAGTTAGTTAGTCCTTACACCCTGTGAGGACAGCCAGAAGGTGCCACCTATGAATCACAGAGCAGACCCTCACAAGACACCACATCTGTTGGCGTCTTGCTCTTGGACTTTCCAGCCTCCAGATCTGTAACAAGTACATTTCTGTTGTTTTTAAGCCCTTCAGTTTGCAGTATTTTGTTATAGCAGCCTGAAGGGATTAAGACAGCGCCAAGAACCAAAACCACACAATATTATAAAATACTAACAATGCAATGGCTGCACATAAGGTCTATTCAAAATTTTTATACTATGTTATACTCCACTAATTAAAAATGATTTTTTGCCCATTTTCTAATTAGATTGTCTGTTTTTTTGACTGTTAAGTTTTGAGAGTTCATTATACATACTAGATACTAGCCCTTCATTGGATATGTGATCTGTAAATATTTTCTTAACAGTCTGCAGCTTGTCTCTTCATCCTCTTAAAAGCGTCTTTCACTGAGCAAAGGTTTTCCATTTTGGTGAAGTCCAGTTTATCAATCTTCTTTTAATATATTGTGCTTTTGGTGTCAAGTATATGGACTTTTTGCCTAGTCCAAGATTGCAAACATTTCTTCTATTTTTTCTAAAATTTTATAGTTTTACATTTTAATTCAAGTCTATCATCCATTTTGAGTTATTTTTTGTATAAGATGTGAATCTTAGATTGACATCCCCCTCTCTCCTTGTCTCCCTCCCTTTCTTTCTCCCTCCATCCCTCCTTCACTTCTTTCTTTCTCTTTCTTCCTTTCTTTCTTTTTCTTTCTCTTTTCCTTGCCTTTCCTTTATCTTTTCCTTTTCCTTGTTTCTTTCCTTTCCTTTCCCTTTCTGTTTCTCTTTCTTTCTTTCTTTCTCTTTCTCCTTCCTTCCTTCCTTTCTCTCTCTTTCTCCTTTCTTTTCCTTTATCCTTTCCTTTTCCTTTTTTCTTTCCTTTCCCTTCCTCTCTTTTTCTCTTTCTTCTTTCTTTCTTTCTTTCTTTCTTTCTTGCTTTCTTTCTTGCTTTCTTTCTTTTTTCTTTCTTTCCTTCTTTCCTTTTTTTTTTTTTTGGCAGTCTCACTCTGTTGCCCACACCCAGGCTGGAGTGCAGTGACACAATCTTAGCTCATTGCAACCTCTGCCTCCTGGGTTGAAGTCATTCTCATGCCTCAGCCTCTCAAGCAGCTGGGATTACAGGCATGCACGACCACACCTGGCTAATTTTTGTATTTTGTAGTACAGGTGGGGTTTTCTTGGCCAGGCTGGTCTCAGACTTCTGGCCTCAAGGGATCCACCCACCTTGGCCTCCCAAAGTGCTAAGATTACAGGCACTAGCCACCACACCGGGCCTCCTTCCTTCCTTCCTTCCTTCCTTACTTCCTTCCTCCCTCCTTCCTTCCCTCCCTTCCTTCTTTTCATCCTCCTTTCCTTCCTTTCTTTCTTTTTATTCCTATGGATGTCCAATCACTTTAGTACCATTTGTTGAAAAGGTTATCTTCCCTCCATTGCATTGCTTTTGCTGTTTTGTTAAAAATGTTGGACATATTTGTGTGGGTCTGTTTCTGGGTTCTCCCTTCAGTCATAGTGATATAAGTGTCCATCCTGCAGCCAATATCACACAGTCTTTTTTTCCCATCTCCCTAATAAAGGATTACTGGAACTGTCTCTCAGTGAGGTAGAGAACTTGATTTCAGGGAAACCGGTGTCCTATTCAGAGTATGAGGAAATATGTTTCAGTTCTCAGCACCTTTCCTTTGTTTAATCTATACTCCTCAATCTCCTCAATAGAAACTGGTGTCCTATTCGGAGTATGAGGAAATATGTAACATATTTCCTCATTGTATATTTCTTCATTGTATATTACATATACTCCTCAATCTTCATCAGTGTACCTTCACACAGGGGATATGGAGGTTGAGGAGAGTTTGTTTTTTACACTGAACATGGGATGGATGGTTTTTGGTCTTTTTGTATTCTTTTGTATAATTTTGATACATTTTTGTGGTTGTATGAAATCTGTAACGTATTTTTATTTGGTTTTTAACATTCTTTATTTTAATTGACAAAAATTGTATGTATTTATCTTGTACAACATGTTGTTTTGAAATATATCTACATTGTAGAATAGCTAAATGGAGCTAACTAATACAGGTATTACATACTCATCAGTCTTTTCTGGTGAGCATACTTAAAATCTAGTCTCTTAGCAATTTTTAGGAATACAATACATTCTCATTCTTGTAGTCACCATGTTGTACAATACAACACACTCTGGATTACTGTAGCTCTATAATAAATCTTAAAATTGGGTGGATTAATTCCTTACTTTATTAATTATTTTGAAAATTGTTTTAGTTATTGTAGTTCTCTTGCCTTTCCATATACTTTTTAGAATAATCTTGTCAATATCTACAATCATGTTTGGATTTTGATAGCAATTGTATTGAACCTGTATAACAACTTTAGGAAATTAACATATTTACTGAGTTTGTTTACAATCCATGAATATATTATGTCTCTCCATTTATTTTGATCTTTGATTTCCTGCATCAGCACTTTCTAGTTTTCAGCATACATGCCCCGTTTTGTTGTTACGCCTAGGTATTTCATTTTTAAAGTGATTGTAAATGGTATCATATTTTTATTTTGTTGTTCATGTGTTCATCACTGGTAAATAGAAATACAAGTGATATTATTTTATTTGTTATTTATTTAATTATTTATTTTTAAAAGACTTTATTTTTTAGAGCAGGTATAGGTTCATGACAAAATTAAGCGGGAAGTGCAGAGATTTTCCATATATCCTCTGCCCTACATGTGCTTAACCTCCCTCATTATGAACATCCCCCACCAGATTAGTACATTTAGTACAACTGATGAACTTGCATGGACACATCATTATCACTCAGCTTCCATAGTTTACATTAGTGTTCACTCTTGGTGTTGTACATTTCTACGTGTTTGACCATTGTATAATGACCAGTATCCACCATTATAGTATCACACGGAAGAGTTTCACTGCACTAAAAATCTTCTGTGCTCTGCCTGTTCCCCCCACACTCTCCTATAATGCCTGGCAACCACAGATCTTTTCTATTATCTTCACAGTTTTGCCTTTTCCTGACTGTCATAGTTTGAATAATACAGTATGTAGTCTGTTCAGATTGGCTTCCTTCATTTGATAATATGCATTTAAGTTTTCCTCCATTTATTTTTATGGCTGGATAGCTCATTTATCCTTAGCACTGAATAACGTCCTATTGTCTGGATGTACTATGGTTTATTTATCCGTGTACCTACTGAAGGACATCTTGGTTGCTGCCAAGTTTTGGCAAGTGTGAATAAAGCTGCTATAAAAATTTATGTGCAGGTTTTTAGGTGGGCATAAGCTTTCAACTCCTTTGGATAAATACCAAGGGATGTGATTGCTAGATAATATGTCAGGAATGTGTTTAGTTTTATGAGAAACTACCAAATCGTGTTCCAAAGTGGCTATGCCATATTACATTCCCATGATCAATGAATGAGTTTCTGTTGCTCTACATCCTTAGCAGCATTTGGTATTGTCAGTGCTCCAAATTTTGGCAGTTCTAGTAAGTATATAGGGGTATCTCATTATTTCAGTTTGCATTTTCCTGATGACACATGATATGGAGCATCTTTTCATATGCTTATATGCCATCTGTATATCTTCTTTGGTAAGTTGTCTATTAAGGACTTTGGTCCATATTTTAATCGAGTCATGTCCTTATTGTTGAGTTGTAAGAGTTATTTGTATACAACACTTCTTTATCAGATATATATTTTGCAAATATATTTTCTCTGAGTCTCGGTTTTGTGTTCTCATTCTCTTGAAATATATTTTGCAAAGCAGACATTTTTTAATTTTAACAAAGTCCAGCTTATCTATTCTTTCTTTCATAGATCATGCCTCACAGTTGCTTCTAAAAAGTCATTGCCAAACCCAAGGTCATTTACATCTTCTCTGTTATCTTCTAGGAATTTGCTAGTTTTGTGTTTTACATTTAGGTCTATGATTCATTTTGAGTTAATTTTTGTGAAAGGTGTAAGTTTTGTGTCTAGATTGACTCTTTTTGGCATATAGATGTGCAGTTGTTGTAGCAACATTTGTTGAAAAGACTATTGTTCTTTTGTTGCCTTTGCTTCTTTCTCAGAGGTCAGTTTACTATATTAACGCAGTTCTATTTCTAGGCTCTTTATCCTGTTCCATTGATCTCTTTGTCTGTATTTTCACCAATACTACACTATCTCGATAACTGTACCTGTGTAGTAAGTGTTGAAGTCAGGTAGTGTCAGTCCTCCAACTTTACTCTTCTTCAATATTGTGTTGGCTATTCTGTGTCTTTTGCCTCTCCACATACACTTTAGAATCAGCTTATCAATACCTCCGAAATAATTTTCTGTGATTTAACTTGAAATTTTATTAAATCTATAAATCAATCTGGAAATAATTGGCATCTTAACAATATTAAGTCGTTCTATCTTTGAACATGGAATATCTCTCCATTTATTGAGCTCTTCTTTGATTCCTTTTATCAGAGTTTTGTGGTTTTCCTTATATAGGTCTTATACATATTTTGTTAGATGTATGCCCTAGTATTTTATTTTGGGGGTGGTAATGTAAATGGTATTGTGTTTTTAATTTCAAATTTTACTTATTCATTGCTGGCATATAGAAAAGTGATTTTTTGTATTAAATTTGTATCCTGTAACCTTGCCATAACTGTTTAGTAATTCCAGTTTTTTCTTGGTTGTTTAAGATTTTTTTACACAACTCATTATGTTATGTGTGAACAAAGACATTGTTTTCTCTTCCATCCCAATATATATACCTCTGACTTCCATTTTTTGTCTTATTGCATTAGCTAAGACTTTCAGAAACATGTTGAAAACTACTTGTAAGTAGGGACAAACTTGCCTTTTTCATAATCTTAGTGGTAAAATTTTGGGTTTCTCACTATTAACTATCAGCTGAAGGTCTTTTAATAGATATTTTTTATTAAGTAGTAAACCCTATTCATAGTTTACTGAGAGTTTTGGGTTTTGTCAAATGCTTCTTCTGTATCTACTGATATGATCGTGTGATTTTCCTTATTTCACATGTTGATGTGATGGGTTGCATTAATTTATTTTCCAATTTTGAAACAGCCTTACAGGCCTGAGACCAATATTAATGCAAGAGGGCTATATCACTGGGAAACACTGAGCCTTCTGACCTCAACCCTTTATTGCTGCTTTCATCCTGTCTGGCCCCTGGAGGCTGTGTGCTACTGGATAAACAAGTATGCCACTCTGATGCTCTTTCCCTCATATAGAATTCTTAAGATTTACTTATTGTCTTTTGCTTTCAACAAAAGTAAAATATTTGAACAAAAGTTTGATTATGATATATCTAGGTGTGGATTTCTTTGAGTTTATCCTACTTGAAATTTGTTGAGTTTTTTGGATGTGTAGATTAACGACTGGCTAAAATTTAAAATATGGACAAATGTTGGTGAGAATATACAGCAACTGGAAATGTCAAATACTGCTGATAGAAGGAGAAATTGTTGGAATTTGAAAAACAGTTTGACAGAATATATTTTATTTTATTTTATTTTTTCTTTTTTTTAAACTATAAGTTCTAGGGTACATGTGCACAACATGCAGGTTTGTTACATAGGTATACATGTGCCATGTTGGTTTGCTGCACCCATTAACTCGTCATTTACATTAGGTATTTCTCCTAATGTTATCCCTCCCCCTTCCCCCCACCCCATGACAGGCCCCAGTGAGTGATGTTCCCCGCCCTGTGTCCATGTGTTCTCATTGTTCGATTCCCACCTATGAGTGAGAACATGCGGTGTTTGGTTTTCTGTCCTTGTGATAGCTTGCTCAGAATGATGGTTTCCAGCTTCATCCATGTTGTTACAAAGGACATGAGCTCATCCTTTTTTATGGCTGCATAGTATTCCATGGTGTATATGTGCCACATTTTCTTAATCCAGTCTATCATTGATTGACATTTGGGTTGGTTCCAAGTCTTTGCTATTGTGAATAGTGCCGCAATAAACATACGTGTGCATGTATCTTTATAGTAGCATGATTTATAATCCTTTGGGTATATGCCCAGTAATGGATTGCTGGGTCAAATGGTATTTCTAGTTCTAGATCCTTGAGGAATCGCCACACTGTCTTCCACAATGAATGAACTAGTTTACACTCCAACCAATGGTGTAAAAGCATTCCTATTTCTCCACATCCTCTCCAGCACCTGTTGTTTCCTGACTTTTTAATGATCGCCATTCTAACTGGTGTGAGATGGTATCTCATTGTGGTTTTGATTTGCATTTCTCTGATGACCATTGAGGATGAGCATTTTTTCATGTGTCTGTTGGCTGCATAAATGTCTTCTTTTGAAAAGTGTCTGTTCATATCGTTTGCCCACTTGTTGATGAGGTTGTTTGATTTTTTTCTTGTAAATTTGTTTAAGTTCTTTGTAGATTCTGGATATTAGCCCTTTGTCAGATGGGTAGATTGCAAAAATTTTCTCCCATTCTGTAGGTTGCCTGTTCACTCTGATGGTAGTTTCTTTTGCTGTGCAGAACCTCTTTAGTTTAATTAGATCCCATTTGTCAGTTTTGGCTTTTGTTGCCATTGCTTTTGCTGTTTTAGACATGAAGTCCTTGCCCATGCCTATGTCCTGAATGCTATTGCCTAGGATTTCTTCTAGGGTTTTTATGGTTTCAGGTCTAACATTTAAGTCTTTAATCCATCTTGAATTAATTTTTTGTATAAGGTGTAAGGAAGGGATCCAGTTTCAGCTTTCTACATATGGCTAGCCAGTTTTCCCAGCACCATTTATTAATAGGGAATCCTTTCCCCATTTCTTGTTTTTGTCAGGTTTGTCAAAGATCAGATGGTTGTAGATGTGTGGTGTTATTTCTGAGGCCTCTGTTCTGCTCCATTCATCAATATCTCTGTTTTGGTACCATTACCATGCTGTTTTGATTACTGTAGCCTTGTAGTATAGTTTGAAATCAGGTAACGTGATGCCTCCAGCTTTGTTCTTTTGGCTTAGGATTTTCTTGGGAACGTGGGCCCTTTTTTGGTTCCATATGAACTTAAAGTAGTTTTTTCTAATTCTGTGAAGAAAGTCATTGGTAGCTTGATGGGGATGGCCTTGAATCCATAAATTACCTTGGGCAGTATGGCCATTTTCACAATATTGATTCTTCCTATCCATGAGCATGAAATATTCTTCCATTTGTTTGTGTCCTCTTTTATTTCATTGAGCAGTGGTTTGTAGTTCTCCTTGAAGAGGTCCTTCACATCCCTTGTTAGTTGGATTCCTAGGTATTTTATTCTCTTTGTAGCAATTGTGAATGGGAGTTCACTCATGATTTGGCTCTCTGTTTGTCTGGGATTGGTGTTTAAGAATGTGATTTTTGCACATTGATTTTGGATCCTGAGACTTTGCTGAAGTTGCTTATCAGCTTAAGGAAGATTTTGGGCTGAGATGATGGGGTTTTCTAAATATACAATCATGTCATCTGCAAACAGGGACAATTTGACTTCCTTTTTTCCTAATTAAATACTCTTTATTTCTTTCTCTTGCCTGATTGCCCTAGCCAGAAATTCCAACACTATGTTGAAAGGAGTGGTGAGAGGAGGCATCCCTGTCTTGTGCCAGTTTTCAAAGGGAATGCTTCCAGGTTTTGCCCATTCTGTATGATATTGGCTGTGCGTTTGTCATAAATAGCTCTTATTATTTTGAGATATATTCCATCAATACCTAGTTTATTGAGAGTTTTTAGCATGAAGCGCTGTTGAATTTTGTCAGAGGCCTTTTCTGCATCTATTGAGATAATCATGTGGTTTTTGTCTTTGGTTCTGTTTATGTGATGGATTACGTTTATTGATTTGCATATGTTGAACCAGCCTTGCATCCCAGGGATGAAGCCGACTTGATCATGGGGGATAAGCTTTTTGATGTGCTGCTAGATTCGGTTTGCCAGTATTTTATTGAGGATTTTCACATCAACGTTCTTCAGGGATATTGGTCTAAAATTCTCTTTTTTTGTTTGTGTCTCTGCCAGGCTTTGGTATCAGGATGATGCTGGCCTCATAAAATGAGTTAGGGAGGATTCCCTCTTTTTCTATTGATTGAAATAGTTTCAGAAGGAACGGTACCAACTCCTCTTTGTACCTCTGGCAGAATTCGGCTGTGAATCCGTCTGGTCCTGGACTTTTTTTGGTTGGTAGGCTATTAATTATTGCCTTAATTTCAGAACCTGTTATTGGTCTATTCAGAGATTCAACTTCTTCCTGCTTTAGTCTAGGAGGATGTATGTGTCTGGGAATTTATCCATTTCTTCTATATTTTCTAGTTGATTTGTGTACAGGTGTTTATAGTATTCTCTGATGGTAGTTTGCATTTCTGTGGGATCGGTGGTGATATCCCCTTCATCATTTTTTATTGTGTCTATTTGATTCTTCTCTCTTTTCCTCTTTATTAGTCTTGTTAGAAGTCTATCAATTTTGCTTTTCTTTTCAAAAAACCAGCTCCTGGATTCATTGATTTTTTTAAGGGTTTTTTTGTCTCTATCTCCTTCAGTTCTGCTCTGATCTTATTTCTTGCCTTCTGCTAGCTTTTGAATTTGTTTGCTCTTGCTTCTCTAGTTCTTTTAATTGTGATGTTAGGGTGTCAATTTTATATCTTTCCTGCTTTCTCTTATGGGCATTTAGTGCTATAAATTTCCCTCTACACACTGCTTTAAATGTGTCCCAGAGATTCTGCTACGTTGTGTCTTTGTTCTCATTGGTTTCAAAGAACATCTTTATTTCTGCCTTCATTTTGTTATTTACCCAGTAGTAATTCAGGAGCAGGTTGTTCAGTTTCCATGTAGTTGTGCAGTTTTGAGAGAGTTTATTAATCCTGAGTTCTAATTTGATTGCACTGTGGTCTGAGAGACAGTTTGTTGTGATTTCTGTTCTTTTACATTTGCTGAGGAGTGCTTTACTTCCAACTATGTGGTCAATTTTGGAATAAGTGTGATGTGGTGCTGAGAAGAATGTATATTCTGTTGATTTGGGGTGGAGAGTTCTGTGGATGTCTATTAGGTCTGCTTGGTGTAGAACTGAGTTCAAGTCCTGGATATCCTTGTTAACCTTCTGTCTCATTGATCTGTCTAATATTGACAGTGGGGTGTTAAAGTCTCCTATTATTATTATTGTGTGGGAGTCTAAGTCTCTTTGTAAGTATCTCAGAACTTGCTTTATGAATCTAGGTGCTCCTGTGTTGGGTACATGTATATTTAGGATAGTTAGCTCTTCTTGTTGAATTGATCCCTTTACCATTATGTAATGGCCCTCTTTGTCTCTTTTGATCTTTGCTGGTTTAAAGTCTGTTTTATCAGAGACTAGGATTTCAATCCCTGCTTTTTTTTTTTCTTTTTCTTTTTTGTTTGCTTTCCATTTGCTTGGTAGATCTTCCTCCATCCCTTTATTTTGAGTCTATGTGCATCTCTGCATGTGAGATGGGTCTCCTGAATACAGCACACTGATGGGTCTTGACTCTTTATCCAAATTGCCAGTCTGTGTCTTTTAACTGGAGCATTTAGCCATGATGTTAGCTGGTTATTTTGCCCATTAGTTGATGCAGTTTCTTCCTAGCATCGATGGTCTTTACAGTTTGGCATGTTTTGCAGTGGCTGGTACTGGTTGTTCCTTTCCATTTTTAGTGCTTCCTTCGGGAGCTCTTTTAGGGCAGGCCTCGTGGTGACAAAATCTCTCAGCATTTGCTTGTCTGTAAAGGAGTTTATTTTTCCTACACTTATGAAGCTTAGTTTGGCTGGATATGAAATTCTGGGTTGAAAATTCTTTTCTTTAAGAATGTTGAATATTGGCCCCCACTCCCTTCTGGCTTGAAGGGTTTCTGCCGAGAGATCCTCTGTTAGTCTGATGGGCTTCCCTTTGTGGGTAACCTGACCTTTCTCTCTGGCTGCCCTTAACATTTTTTCCTTCATTTCAACCTTGGTGAATCTGACAAACATGTGTCTTGGGGTTGCTTTTCTCAAGGAGTATCTTTGTGGTGTTCTCTGTATTTCCTGAATTTGAATGTTGGCCTGCCTTGCTACATTGGGGAAGTTCTCCTGGATAATATCCTGAAGAGTGTTTTCCAGCTTGGTTCCATTCTCCCCATCACTTTCATGTACACCAATCTGATGTAGATTTGGTCTTTTCACATAGTCCCATATTTCTTGGGGGCTTTGTTCATTTCTTTTTACTCTTTTTTCTCTAAACTTCTCATTTCATTAATTTGATCTTCAATCACTGATACCCTTTCTTCCACTTGATTGAATCCGCTACTGAAGCTTGTGCACGCATCACGTAGTTCTCATGCTGTGGTTTTCAGCTCCATCAGGTTATTTAAGGTCTTCTCTACACTGTTTATTCTACTTAGCCATTCGTCTAATCTTTTTTCAAGTTTTTAGCTTCCTTGTGATGGGTTTGAACATCCTCCTTTAGCTTGGAGAAGTTTGTTATTACCGACTTTCTGAAGCCTACTTCTGTCAGCTCATCAAAGTCATTCTCTGTCCTGCTTTGTTCTGTTGCTGGTGAGGAGCTGCAATCCTTTGGAGAAGAAGGGGCACTCTGGTTTTTAGAATTTTCAGCTTTTCTGCTCTGGTTTCTCCCCATCTTTGTGGTTTTATCTACCTTTGGCCTTTGATGATGGTGACCTACATATGGGATTTTGGTGTGGATGTCCTTTCTATTGATGTTGATGCTATTCCTTTCTGTTTGTTAGTTTTCTTTCTAACAGTCAGGTCCCTCAGCTGCAGGTCTGTTGGAGTTTGCTGGAGGTCCACTCCAGACCCTGTTTGCCTGGGTTTCACCAGGACAGGTGAACAGCAAATATTGCAGAACAGCAAATATTGCTGCCTGATCCTTCCTCTGGAAGCTTCGTCTCAGAGGGCACCTGGCTGTATGAGGTGTCAGTTGGCCCCTACTGGGAGGTGTCTCCAAGTTAGGCTATGTGGGGGTCAGGGACCCACTTGAGGAGGCTGTCTGTCCATTTTCAGAGCTCAAACACCACATTGAGAGAACCACTGCTCCTTCAGAGCTGTCAGACAGGGATGTTTAAGTCTGCAGAGGTTTCTGCTGCCTTTTGTTCAGCTGTGTCATGCCCCCAGAGGCGGAGTCTACAGAGGTAGGCTGTTGAGCTGCAGTGGGCTCCACCCAGTTCGAGCTTCCTGGCTGCTTTGTTTACCTACTCAAGTCTCAGCAATTGTAGACGCCCCTCCCCCAGCCAGGCTTGCTGCCTCGCAGTTCTGTCTGGGACTAGCAGTGGCAAGGCTCCATGGGCATGGGACCCACTGAGCCATGTGCGGGATATAATCTCCTGGTGTGCCATTTGATAAGACCATTGGAAAAGCACAGTGTTTAGGTGGCAGTTTCCCGATTTTCCCAGTACAATCTGTCACAGCTTCCCTTGGCTAGGAAAGGGAAATCCCCCAACCTCCTGCACTTCCTAGGTGAGGCAATGCCCCACCCTGCTTTGGCTCACCGTCCATGGGCTGCACCCACTTTCTGACCAGTCCCAGTGAGATGAACCACTTACCTCAGTTGGAAATGCAGAAATCACCCATCTTCTGTCTCAATCACGCTGGGAGCTGCAGACCAGAGCTGTTCCTATTCAGCCATCTTGGAATCCCATCCAGAATATACTTTAATACTTTAATATTTTAACATATGAAAACCTCATAACCTGACAGCTTTATGTACAAGAATGTTCACATCAGCATTATACATACTAAATTGAAACTGAAAAAATCACTGTCTGTCAACACCATAGTAAAGAACCAGTTGTCATATATTCATCTAGTAGAATATTGGTCAGCAATGAACACACTATTGCCATGTGCAACAACATAGATCAATCTCACACATACAATGGCGATCCAAAGTAGCCAGACCCCAAAATTCCCTAGTGTATAAGTATGTCCTTTATATAAATTTCAAGAACAGGGAACCTAATCAATGGCAACAGAGGTTAGAATAATGAGTTCCTATAGGTAAGAGAGAGGGCATAGAAACTGACCATACAAGAAGGTCTCTGTGGTGCTGGCAAAGTTTACTTTTTGACTGGTTGGTAGTTTTATAGGTTTTAATTTGTAACAACTCACTGAAATGTAAACTTATCTGTTATCTTTTTTGTTTATTATGGTGCACAAGTTTTTCCAAAAAGTTAAAAAGATAGTGAAGAATACATTACCAAAATTAAAAACAAGCAACCCCCAAGAAAAGAGTATAGTTATAATTAGGTCTATATGTGTTCATCTGAAAAGATGCCTGAGGGATGTAAGGGAAATCACTAATTGCAGAATTTGAATAGATGTCTGGATGTCTGAGGTATGTAACACTAGTTGTAGAAGAGTATCTGCAGTATGATCTTTTTGGTGCAAAGTAAGAGAGAGAGAGAATTTCTGAGTCTATTTCTTTGGAGACATTTGCTGCCACCTGAGAATTTCAATTCCTCCAAGGTGGCAGAATGAGGAAAGCTGGCTGCCTCTCCTCAAAGCCTAAAGCATAATGTTTTCCAGGAGTTTGGATAGATTCAATCCAAAAACGTTTTCACTGAAGCTCATTGTAAATAAACTGTCAAAAGTCAAAGATAGTCAAAGCAGTAAGAAAAATGTGCTAAGTCAAAATAAGGGAATCCCTATTAGACTAACAGCAGGTTTCTTAGAATAAACCCTAGAAGTCAGGAGAGAATAAGATAATTTTCAAAGTGTTGGAAAAAAAACTGTCAGAAAAGAATACTACACCCAGCAAAGCTATTATTCAGAGATGAAAGAGAAATAAAGACTTTCCCAGGCAAACAAAACTAGAGAAAATTCATCACTACTAGACTAGCCTTATAAAAAATCCTTAAGGGACTCCTATACCTGGAAGTGAAGGAAAAATAACTACCTTTGTGAAAACATGTGAAAGTATAAAACTCATTGGTAGAGAAAACATACAAATGAGAAAGAGAAAGCAATCAAAATTTATCACTACAGAAAACCAACAAACTACGAAGATAAACAATAAGAGAGGAAGTAACAAAGAAGAGACAAAATAATCAGAAAACAACTGTTTAAATCACAAGAGTAATCCTCACTTATCAACAATAACCTTGAATGTAAACAGACTAAATTACTCAATTAAAAAATATAGACTGGCTAAATGGATAAAAAAAGGGACCAAACTATATGCTTCTTATAAGAAACTTACATGACTTGTAAAAACATGCATAGACTGAATGTAAATGAATGAAAAAAAATTCATGCAAATAGAAATAAAAAGTGAGCAGAAGTCACTATACTTATTTCAGATAAAATGTACTTTAAATCAAAAGCTGTGAGAAAAGTCAAGGAAGATCACATATAATGACAAAGGGATTGATTTAGTAAAAGGATATGACAATTGTAAAGATACATTCACCCAACACCAGAAAACCAAACTATAGAAATCAAATATTATTAGAGCTAAAGGGAGAGGCAGACTCCAATACAATAATTGTTGGGGACTTCAACAGTTCACTCTCAGTATTGATAGATCGCTTAGACACAAAATCAACAAAGAAACACTGGATTTAATCTGTGCTCCAGAACAAATGGACCTAACAGACACTTGAAGAACATTTCATCTGACAGTTACAGAATACTCATTCTTTTCATCAGCACATAGAACATTCTCCAGGATAGACCATATATTAGGCCACAAAGCAAGTCTCAATGAATTTTAAAACATCACAATCATTTCAATTACCTTTTATGAACACAATGGAATAAAACAAGAAAGCAATAACAAGAGGAACTTTGGAAACTGAACAAATACATAGAAATTAAACAATATGCTTCTGAAAGACCAATGGGTGAATAAACAAATTAAGACGGAAATTAAAAATTTCCTTGAAAGAAACAAAAATACAAACACAACATATCAAAACCTAAGAGGGAAATTTATAGCGTTGCATGCCTACATCAAAAAAGTAGATGATTTCAAAAAAATAAAACAATAATGCACCTTAAAGAACTAGAAAAGCAAGAAAAAGAGCCAAACTCAAAATTAGTAGAAAGAAACTTGAAAAATCAGAGCAGAAATAAACAACAAACAGACTAGAGATCAATAAAATGAAAAGTTGGGGAGGTTTTTGTTTGTTTGTTTGTTTTTGTATTTTTCTGGGGTGAGCATCTTACTCTGTCACCCAGGATGAAGTGCAGTGCCTCTGTCATGGCTCACTGCAGCCTCCAGCTCATGAGCGCCAGAGACCTTCATTCTTCTGAGCAGCTGGGAATACAGGCATGTGCCACCACACCCAGCTAAGATTTTTTTTCTTCTTTTTTAAAAGATGTAGTATTTTTTTTATTGCCCAGGATGGTCTCAAACTCCTGGCCTCAAGTGATCCTCCTGCCTTGGCCTCAGTGCTGGGATTACAGGCATGAGCCACTACACTGAGCTGAAACGTTGGTATTTTGAACAGATAAACAAAATTGACAAACCATTAGGTAGACTAACTAAAAAAATAAGAGAGAAGACTGAGATAAGTAAAAATGAGAAACAAAAAAGGAGACTTACAATTGATACCACAGAAATACAAACGATCATTAAACATTATTATAAACAACTTATGTCAACAAATGAGAAAATCTAGGGAAAATGGATGAATTCCTGGACACATACAACCTACCAAGACTGAACCAGGAAGAAATAGAAAACCCGAACATACCAATTACTAGTAACAATATTGAATCAATAATAAAACGTCTACCATCAAAGAAAAGTCCATGACTAGATGCCTTCACTGCTGAATTCTGCCAAAGTTTTAAAGAACAAAAAACACCAATTCTTTTCAAGCTATTCCAAAAAATTGAAGAGGAGGAAATTCTTCCAATCTCATTTTATGGGGCCAGCATTATCCTGATATCCTGACAGCAAAACCAGACATAAACACAACAACAACAAGAACAGTACAAGCTAATATCTCTGATGAACAGAGATACAAAAATCCTCAACAAAATACTAGCAAACAGAATCCAGCAGCACATCCAAAATACAATCATCATCAAGTGGGATTCATCTCAGGGATGCAAGGATGGTTCAACATATATAAATCAATAAGTGTGATACATTACATCAACGGAATGAAGAAGAAAACATATGATCATCTCAATAGATGCAGAAAAAATATTTGACAAAATTTAACATCCCTTCATCATAAAAACCCTCAACAAATTAGGTGTATAAACCAAGTACCTCAACACAATAAAGGCCATATACAAAAAAATCGACAGCTACCATCATACTGAATGGAGAAAATTTGAAAGTTTTCCGCTAATAATTTGAGCAAGACAAGGTTGCCCACTTTCACTACTCTTTTTTTTTTTTTTTTTTTTTTTTTTTGAGACAGAGTCTTGCTCTGTTACCCAGGCTGGAGGGCAGTGGTGTAGTGGCGTGATCTTGGCTCACTGCAACCTCCGCCTCCCATGTTCAAGTGATTCTCCTGCCTCAGCCTCCCAAGTACTGGGATTACAGGCACCCACCACCATGCCTGGCTAATTTTTTTGTATTTTTAGTAGAGACGGGGTTTCACCATGTTGGCCAAGCTGGTCTCCAACTCCTGACCTCAGGTGATCTTCCCACCTTGGCCTCCCAAAGTCCTGGGATTACAGGCGTGAGCCACTGCGCCCAGCCCACTACTCTTATTCAAGATAGTTAAGGAAGTCCTAGCCAGAGTAATTAATCATGGGAAAAAAATAAAGCGTATCCAAATAGGAAAGGAAGAAATCAAATTGTCCCTATTTGCAGACAACATGATCTTAAAAAGACAAAATCCTAAAGACTTCACAAAAACACTCTTAGAACTGATAAATGAATCCAGTAAAGTTGCAGGATACAAAATCAACATACAAAAATCAACAGCATTTGTATACATCAAGAAGAACTACATGAGAAAGAAATCAAGAAGTCAATCCCGTTTACAATGGCTACAAAGTATAAAATACCTAGGAATAAATGTAACCAGGGAGTGAAAGATCTCTACTATGAAAGCTATAAAACACTGAAGAAAAAACTGAAGAGGATACAAAAAAGTGAAAAGACATCTCATGTTCATGGATTGGAAGAATCAGTATTGTTAAAATAACCATACTACCCAAAGTGATCTACAGATTTAATGCCATGCCTATTAAAATAATAATGACATTCTTCACAAAATGAGAATGAACAATCATAAAATTTGTATGGAACCATAAAAAGACACCAAATAGTCAAGGCAACCCTAAGCAAAAAGTGAAAAGCTGGAGGCATCACACTACCTGACTTCAACATGTACTACAAATCTATGATAACCAAAACAGCATGGTGCTGTTATAAACACATAGAGCAATGGAACACAATAGAGAACACAGAAATAAATTCGCATATTTATAGTCAACTGATTTTTGACAAAGGCATCAAGAACATATGTTGGGGGAAAGAACAGTCTGTTCAATAAATGATGCTGGGGAAACTGGATATTCATATGCAGAAGAATGCAACTGGACTCCTATCTCTCACACATACAAAAAATCAACACAAAATGGACTAAAGACTTAAATGTAAGTCCCAAAACTATGAAACTACTAGAAATAAACACAGGAGAAGTGCCTCAGGACACCGGTTTGGGTGAAGATTTTATGAAAGACCTCAAAAGCACAGGCAACAAAAGCGAAAATAAACAAATGGGATTATATCAAACTAAAAAGCATCTGCAGAGAAAACAATCAGCAGTGTGAAGAGAAAACCTGCAGAATTGGAGAAAATATTTGCAACTATTAATCCAATAAGGAATTAATATCCTGTATACACAAGGAACTCAAACAAGTCTACAGCAAAAAAATCCAAATAATACAATTTTAAAATGGGCAAATGATCTGAACAGACACGTCTTGAAAGAAGACATATAAATTGCCAACAAGTATATTAAAAATGCTTGGCCAGGCCCGGTGGCTCTTGCCTGTAATCCCAGTAATTTGGGAGGCTGAAGTGGGAAGTTGGCTTGAGCCCAGGAGTTTGAGACCAGCCTGGGAAACATAGTGAGATTTCATGCTTACAAAAATAAAAAATTATCCGGGCATGGTGGTCTATGCCTATAGTGTCAGCTACTCAGGAGGCTGAGTTGGGAGGATTGCTTGAGTCCAGGAGGTGAAGGCTGCAGTGAGCTGAGATTGTGTCACTGCGCTCTGTCCTGGGTGACAGAGCAAGACCCTGTCTAAAATAAAATAATAGATATAATATAAAAATAAGAATTCTCAATACTACTACTCCTAAGGAAAATGTCAATCAAACCACAATGAGATATCTCACCCCAGGTAGACTGGCTCTTATTAATAAGACAATAACTAATAAATACTGGCAAGGATGCAGAGAAAAGTGAACTCTTATACACTGTTGGTGGAAATGTAAAGCAGTACAGTTATTATGGAAAACAGAGGGGAGATTCCTCCAAAAAACAAAAAATAGAACGACCATATGATCTAACAATTCCACTACTCAGTATTCATAGGAATATATTCAAAGGAAAGGAACTCAGTATGTTGAAGAAGTATCTGCACTCCCATGTTTATTGTAGTACTATTCACAATAGCCAAATGTGGAATCAAATTAAGTGTCTACCAATGGATGGATGGATAAAGAAAATGCGATAACTATACACCATGAAATACTGTCCGGCCCTAAGAAAGAATGAAATCCTGTCATTCATGGCAACATGGATGAGCCATTATGTTAAATGAAATAAAGCCAGGAAGAGAAAGTTAAACACAGCATCTTCTCACACATATGTGGAAGCTAAAAATAAAGTTAATCTCACAGACGTAAACAGTAGAACAGAGCATACTAGAGGCTGGGAAAACCAGGAGAATGAAGGATGGGGAGAGCTTGGTCAATGGACAAAAGATCATAGCTAGACAAGAGCAATGAGTTCTAGCCTTCTAGAGCACTGGAGGGTGACCATAGTGAACAATAACTCATTATATACATTCAAAGAGGTAAAAGAGAAGACTGTGAATGTTCTTATCACTAAATATTGATACACTTTTGGGGTGATGGGTATACAACTTACCCTGATTTGATCATTGATTATTGCATACATGTATCAAAATAGCTCACTATATCCCATGTATATATAAAATTATGTGTCCATTAAAAATAAGAAATTTTTTAAAATTAAAAAGAGTAAAGAATAAGTCACCCAAATTAAAAACAAGCAAACCCCAAGAAAAGACTATAGTTAACAATTATATCCCTGTGTGTCAATCTGAAAATATGGCTGGGGTATGTAAGAGAAAACACTTATTGTAGAAGAGTATCTGCAGTATGGTCTTATTGATGCAAAGTCAGTGTGTGTGTGTGCGTGTGTGTGTGTGTGTGTGTATGTGCACGTGTGTTTTCCTGAGCCTATTTCATTGGAGATAGTTGCTGCCATCTGCCAGTTTCAATTCCTCCAAGGCGCAGAATGGGAAAAACTGTCTCCCTCACCTCAAAGCCTTAATAAAACATGACGTGTTTCTCTGGGGTTTGGAAGACTCAAAATGCTCAGGGTAGTGAGGTGAGAGGGCTGTGTTGATGAAAATTAAAATTTGTCATTTCTAGGTCATAGAAAGATTTATTGTGTTATGCTTTTTAAGAATGCAGTGACATTTATTAGATGTGCCAATGTAATATAGATATGTGTGTAAATATACAGCACACAATATATGTGTGTACATATATTTATAATACATACACACATAATTGCTTAGTATGCTGGCTGCATCAAGGAAAAGAAGCGTCAACTTCCATTCCCTTAATGTGGCTGAGCTGCCCCTTAGATTCTGACAGTAGAAGTGATCTTGAAATATATCCATAATTAGTAAATCTATTTATGCATCTCTTTGTCTCCAGGTACAGGTAGATTAAGCACATCCCTCTGACTCTGGGAAGGTTCTAGCAGAGGACTGAGCTGGAAAGAGGATTTCTGGGTAATTTTGGCAATCCATGTAACCCCTGTCAGCCTCAGTTGACTGAAGTATGGAATGGGGATTTACTTACTCTCTGTACGCCTCATAGAGTGCTGCAATGATCCAAAACGACGGGAAAGCTCTAGCAGCCACAGACAGCCTCTTCCCACTGCTAGCACCCAGTGCAGCTGGAGAAAGGGGAAGGAAAGAGTCCCTTGAGCACTGAGAGAGAGGTCTCGAATCTGCAGAGACCCCCGTGGGCTGTTCTTAGGGCGGTGCATGGCTCCCACTCTGTGCCCCTTCAGTCTTAAAAAGCGTCGTCTTCCTGGTTTCAGTCACACTGGGTGAGGAGGGGGTCCTGCCACAGGGAGTGGGACTCGGAGTGCAGTGAGACTGTGGACTCTGAGGTGGCTTCGCGTGGGCACCCAGGGCCTGGCAGTGTGAAGAGGATGTCCCCGCAGAGGGAGGTGGCCCAGCATGGGGGTTGAAGCCCCTAGGAGAGTGAGAAGGGCACTGAAGGAGAGCGGACCGGCCAGGGCAATGGGGCCTGAGCAGGGGGAGGAGGCTGTGGACGCGGCAGAGTGGCCTGGCTTGGACACTCGGAACTCAGCAGGGACTGCAGCAATTCTTAGTGCTAAGAATGACAAGCTTGTGTTTCTTAACTACATTCTTTAGATTTGCTGGTGCCATGTGCTGGTAAACTGTACCTGTCTCAACATCAAACTCGGATAGTGTCCCTTGCAGCACGCAGGCGAGTGCATGGTTCCCCCTGGCGGTCGGTGGCAAGCCTCACTCACGAGTCCACATTGCTACAAATCAATCAAAGGGCAACAAAGAGCGTGATGAGGGATGGGATCTTTACAATAGTCCCAAAGTGCGTCCCCACAACATAGTCACTGATTAAAATCAGAAAAAGAATAAATTTGCAGTGGCAAATTGTGACACCCACCACCTTAATTAAATGATCAACACGAACATCATCAGTCTTGGGGCAAACTAAAGTCACATGCTGCCGGGTAGAATGGGAGAAGAGCGCAGCCGGGTGTCGATGGTATTTCTGCCGAAGTTACAGAACCTGAATCTAACTGTAAGGCAATACAAACAAACAAACAAACAAAGTGAGGGGTATTTTACACAGTAACTCCCCTGTGATCTTCACACTGTGTTCAGGTCATGAAGGTGAAGGGAAGACAGAGGGACTTTGTGGGTTTCAGGACCCTGGAGAAGCGTGACAACCGAATAAGGCACATGGCTCAGAAACGGATCCTTTGCTATAAAGGACACTATTGGGGCATTGTGTACATTTTGCATAGGGCCTGAAGGCTATTTGGAGTTATTGTATCCGTGTTTATTTCTTGATTACGGTTATAATGCAAAAATGCCTTTGCGTGAAAAACACATTAAAGTATTGGGGTGTTGGGGTTTCATGTTGACAACCTACTCTCATAGGTTCAGGGGAAAAAAAAGTCGTACGATACTGGCAATTTTTCTGTAATTTTGATGTTGTTTCAGAATAATAAAATGAAAAATGAAACTGACCAAGGCCACCTGGTTAATAAGTGACAGCTCTGGGTCAAAACTCAGGTGTGCCTTTCCCCTAAAGCCATGCCCTGCCCTGCCAACCACAAGGCCCTGCACATCCAAGTTGGCCTCTGTTCCTGCTCATCACCTGCAAAACAGCCCTGCCTCCCCACAGCCAAGTTGCTGGAGCTTCGCCCCACCTGCCCCCAACCTGCACTGGCCTGACTCCCCCATTCCACACCTGGCCCAGCACCCACCACATGGTGTGGCAGACAGCACTGGGGCAGCTGAAAGACTCCATGCTACAAATTGGCACTGCCCAGCTTCCTGCTCCTGGGAGTGGGGTCCGTTGTCTGAGCTTCCGCTCCCTGGAAGAGCTCCAAACTCCTCAATGGTTTGGGATTTTTCAAACCAATTCCAAATAAGCCAGGGGAGATTTTCCTGTCTGGGTTCCCATCATTACCACCTCCACAGTTGGAGATTCCCTCCTAATCCAGATGCTCAAACCAGGACCCTAACAACTAGGGCTTCATATATCACTGGGACACTTAGCATAATCACCATTGCAGGTTGCCAGACATCACCCAAAGTGATGTTCTACCAAAGACAGAAACTGCAGCTCTCCCATGACCTTCCAGGTGCTGCCCTGACTCCTCCAGCTGAACCTGCTAGGGCAGAGGGAAGTGGAACGTGCAGCATATTTGCCTGCCACTCTGTCCATGTGCCCACCAACTCGGCTGCAGGCTCCAGAGACACTGGCTGGGGGTCCTGGGGCTCAGAGCTGAGCAAGGTTACAGGGCAGACAGGTTGGCCTGGATCAACCTGACCAACCTCAGCTGAAGCAGTGACTTCTTCATTGTCTGAAACTAAACCAGGAACCCAGTGGAGCTCCCTGAGTGCAGAGTGGGTGACCTTAGCCAGTGAGGCATTTCTCTTCTTACAGACCTGGTATTTTTCTTTACCAGGTTCTGTGCTCCCCTCAAGGGTCCTAAGTATTCCTGCAGCCTGAGTGTTCTGCAGGGAAATGTGCTGTGTAAACACTATGCCTATTTCCTGCTTGGAGAACAGGTTTTGTGGTAGAGCTCTCAGGGGTGGGGAAGAAGCCTGGCAGCCCACATGCTATAAATTCTGTTGTCCACCTTTATGCTCTAACTTGGAGGCAGAGACCCAAGCAGCTGGAGGCTCTGTGTGTGGGTGAGTTTAGCCACATCCCCTAGGTGTTCTCCAGCTTGAGGATCGCAGGCAGAGAGGACCAGCCCAGCAGCCACAGGCCTGACCAAGGCCCAGGTTGGGAAGGAGGGCAACTCCCCATTTTCCACTGGGAGGTGTTTCACAGCATGGTCAACATGGATGACCTACAAAGACCCTCATGCTTTGATATCTTCCTTGGCCAGATCCATCCCTACCAGGGACTCAGCAGGGCCTAAGCAGGGGGAGTGGGAGAACAGACCCCAAGAGGAAGGAAGACCTCATCACTGACTGTGAGAGGGTCATCACCCCCCGATGATCACCTTGAAGGGTCCAGGCTGTGGGCCCTATTCATCTCTTTTCATTCTCAGGTCGCTGATTTCTTGGAGCCTGAAAAGAAGGTAACTGGGCATATGAGGGACAGATGGAGTGAGTCAGTGAGTGAGTGACCTCATCCTTCCTTCTAACAGCCTGGGAGGGACAGGGCAGGTTTTCTGCAGAGCATGGAAGATTCAGCTGAAATCAGAGAGGTGAAGCCAGTTTCCCAGGGTAACATAGTGAGGCACTGAAAGAAAGGAGACTGCACTGGAGCCCAGGTCCCTGGGCTCCCCAGAGCTCCTTACTCTTCCTCCTCCTCAGCAGTCTTGAGACCCCACAACCTCCAGCCGGAGGCCTGAAGCATGAGGCCATGCCAGGTGCCAGGTGATGCTTGGAATTTTCCCGGGTGCTTCGGGTCTTCCCAGCACTCTGGTCTCGCCCGCCCTGCCTCTCGGGCTCTGCCCAGCTTCCTGAGTCCTGACAGAGCACAGTGGGGGAGATGTTGGCAGAGGTGGCAGATGGGCTCACGGCCATCCCTCCGGCAGGAGCAGCGACTGGACCCAGAGCCATGTGGCTGTGCCCTCTGGCCCTCACCCTCATCTTGATGGCAGCCTCTGGTGCTGCGTGCGAAGTGAAGGACGTTTGTGTTGGAAGCCCTGGTATCCCCGGCACTCCTGGATCCCACGGCCTGCCAGGCAGGGACGGGAGAGATGGTGTCAAAGGAGACCCTGGCCCTCCAGGTACTGTGCTGCAGACCCCACCCTCAGCTGAGGGACACAGACCCCTTTTCAGGAGGCCCATCTGTCCAGGCCCCTAGGCTGTGGGCCATAGTGAGCTGGGGGCTATAGTAAGCTGGGTGGGACTTCAGTCTGCAGGGGTGGTGGGTTCCTGGGGCCCTTATGATGGCGCATCCTGGAGAGTCTGTCCTCATAGTGCCCACGGAGTGATAGCTGAGCCAGCCCCGGTGATAATGGGCATCGAGTCTCACTAGCTCCAACCAGTTGTGGGTGACAGATCCTACACATCCATGTCTCTTTTCTCTGCAGGCCCCATGGGTCCGCCTGGAGAAACACCATGTCCTCCTGGGAATAATGGGCTGCCTGGAGCCCCTGGTGTCCCTGGAGAGCGTGGAGAGAAGGGGGAGGCTGGCGAGAGAGGCCCTCCAGGTGAGCAGGGCGGGGCAGGTGGGCAGTGGAAACATGGGCACAGCGACCTGAAGTCAGTTACACAGGGGTGATGGGGGTCAGACAAACCCTGCAGGTTCCCCAAGGGCATTTGGCTCAACCTAAGTAAGAGAATATGAATTTGAGGGAGAAAGCCGAGGTGTCTGGGGAGTGTGGTCACAATTCAGAGAAGGGCAGGTGTGGGAAGTCCTCCGTGCCTCATGACCGCTGATGGGGACACACTGAGTCAGGTGTGGGACGAGGGACAGCACTGGGAGGCAGGGGAGGCATGTCCTGGGATGGAGGCCCTGGGGGCAGTCTGAAGGGTGAATGCGGACGAGGCATCCAGGCAGATGGTGTGATCAGGAGCCCCACAGACAGAGGGGAACTTTGAAGCTCAGAGCGGTAAGCAAGTCCATCAGGGCAGTGCAGAGAGCATCATGCTTGCCCTTGGTGGAGGGTGCGGGAGAGGGACTTGCCCCACAGAGGCGGGCAGACAGAACCCCTCGAGGGACAGAGCAGGAAAGAGGACAAGGGGTGGGGGTCTCAGCAGGGGCAAGGCTTCACTAAAGAATAGGGGACCACGGGGTGTGGAGACACACTGGAATCTCGTGGACCCTCTGAGCCTAGGGTCTGGGTGGTGCCTAACAGCAATGAAAGGGCAGAGTTCCAGGATTGCAGATGGCAAAACGCCTGCGTGGCAGCAAGTGGGAGTCTTCACTGGCCTGCCCCTCCTTCTGTGTGGGGCACTCTCCACAGGGCTTCCAGCTCATCTAGATGAGGAGCTCCAAGCCACACTCCACGACTTCAGACATCAAATCCTGCAGACAAGGGGAGGTAAGGGGACCCCCTGGGCCTCACGGGGTAGGAGTTTCCCACAAATTCCCCTCATTCTCAGCACCACCTTCTAGAATAGAGATGACAAACAAGCGTGCACATGCAGGTGTTGGGGAAAGGAATGATGCTTGCTTTTCTGATGTCTTTGAATGGCCAAGAGGAGACAAGCAGACACAATTCACTCCCCATTTCATAAGAAAGCAAGTTCTCTGCCTGTCTTGCTTTCCACTGAATCCTAGGAAATTGCACCATTTCTGGCAATAAGTAATTGTTACTTAGATGAATGAATAAATGGAGGAGAGTCTAAAAGTGAATTTAGAAAACTGCAATTGGAAGAGGAAGAGAAGACACAGAGAGAGGCAGAGATGGAGAGACTGGGGAGAATCTGGTAGCAGAGACCCTAGGTGAGGGAGGTGGCTTAGAGACAAAGTGGTCAGTGGCCTGACCTGGACTCCTCTGCTCTCAGCCCTCAGTCTGCAGGGCTCCATAATGACAGTAGGAGAGAAGGTCTTCTCCAGCAATGGGCAGTCCATCACTTTTGATGCCATTCAGGAGGCATGTGCCAGAGCAGGCGGCCGCATTGCTGTCCCAAGGAATCCAGAGGAAAATGAGGCCATTGCAAGCTTCGTGAAGAAGTACAACACATATGCCTATGTAGGCCTGACTGAGGGTCCCAGCCCTGGAGACTTCCGCTACTCAGATGGGACCCCTGTAAACTACACCAACTGGTACCGAGGGGAGCCTGCAGGTCGGGGAAAAGAGCAGTGTGTGGAGATGTACACAGATGGGCAGTGGAATGACAGGAACTGCCTGTACTCCCGACTGACCATCTGTGAGTTCTGAGAGGCATTTAGGCCATGGGACAGGGAGGATCCTGTCTGGCCTTCAGTTTCCATCCCCAGGATCCACTTGGTCTGTGAGATGCTAGAACTCCCTTTCAACAGAATTCACTTGTGGCTATTAGAGCTGGAGGCACCCTTAGCCACTTCATTCCCCTGATGGGCCCTGACTCTTCCCCATAATCACTGACCAGCCTTGACACTCCCCTTGCAAACCATCCCAGCACTGCACCCCAGGCAGCCACTCCTAGCCTTGGCCTTTGGCATGAGATGGAGGCCTCCTTATTCCCCATCTGGTCCAGTTCCTTCACTTACAGATGGCAGCAGTGAGGCCTTGGGGTAGAAGGATCCTCCAAAGTCACACAGAGTGCCTGCCTCCTGGTCCCCTCAGCTCTGCCTCTGCAGCCCACTGCCTGCCCAGTGCCATCAGGATGAGCAGTACCGGCCAAGCATAATGACAGAGAGAGGCAGATTTCAGGGAAGCCCTGACTGTGTGGAGCTAAGGACACAGTGGAGATTCTCTGGCACTCTGAGGTCTCTGTGGCAGGCCTGGTCAGGCTCTCCAGGTGGTCAGAGGGCCCAGTGGTGCCCCAGCACGGTGGTGCCCAAGCCAACCCTGTGACTGACATGTACGATTCACTCCTTTGAGTCTTTGGATGCCAACTCAGCCCCCTGACCTGGAGGCAGCCGGCCAAGGCCTCTAGGGAAGAGCCCCCCACTGCAGACATGACCCGAGTAACTTTCTGCTGATGAACAAATCTGCACCCCACTTCAGACCTCGGTGGGCATTCACACCACCCCCCATGCCACCGGCTCCACTTTCCCCTTTTATTAATACATTCACCCAGATAATCATTAAAATTAACATGTGCCAGGTCTTAGGATGTGTCTTGGGGTGGGCACAGTACCCGGTGACTCTTGGGGATATTTATTTATTTTCCCTGAGCCTATATCTTCATCTGTGAAATGGGGATAAAAATACTTGTTGCTGTCACAATTATTACCATCTCTCCAGCTAGCAAAATTACTACCAGAGCCGTTACTACACACAAAGGCTATTGACCGAGCACATACCATGTGCCACACACCTTGACAAAATCTTTTAATACAGTTTATTATGTACTATTCAATCTTTACACAATGTCACGGGACCAGTATTGTTTACCCAATTTTTTATAAGGACACTGAAGCTTAGAGGAGTGAAATGTTTTGAGTGTTATTTCAGAGAGCAAATGGCAAAGACTGGATCCAAACCCATCTTCCTGGACCTGAAGTTCATGCTCCCAGCCACCCCACCCCTGAGCTGAATAAAGATGATTTAAGCATAATAAATCGTTAGTGTGTTCACATGAGTTTCCATAGCTTTGGTTCCAAGAAACATCACATTTCTGTTTTTGTAAATGAAATGAACTCTGGCTCTGAGCCCCCACTTTCCTCAAGATTGGAAAATTCAATCTCAGGATGTGCTTTCTTTGTTTGATGGGAGGGGCAACCTGCTCTCCTCGCTATGATGCTGCTGGAGGTTGGGGAGCTACAGACACCATTTGGAAGAACACATGGGCATCTTGAATCCATGTGGTGCATTTGTGGGTGGGGATATAATGCCTTCCGTCCTCTGCGCAGCCACCTGAATGATTTCTGCAGCCCAGCAGTGATGTTGGCACTCAGGGCTCAGTTCCAGGCCTCAGTGAGCCATCCTAGTCTCATGTCGGCTTGAAATGGGACCACTGCCCCATACCCCAGGGCTGTGCAGGATTGAGACAATGTCCCCAATTGCTTGAGGAGGCAGCCACGTATGTGTCCCACCTCCAGAAAGGCTCCCACTACTCCCACCCTCACACCTGCGAACACTCTCTCTCGTGGATTTACTGCTTTTCTTGGGCAGAGGCAAGCTCTGGATCAAGACCCACAAAATCAGATGAGAATGAGGGGAATAATTTCTGATTCTTTTCTGAATGATAATTTTTAATCTGGTCACCATTCCACATGTGCTTGGGACCCAGCACACACATTATTGAGCCTTCCCGTAAATTAAGAGAAAAACAAGGAGAAGCATGTACAAATGTTCCTTGACTTATGATGTGGTTAGGTCCTGATAAACACATTGCAAAATGATATCTTAAATGGAAAATGCATTTAATACATCTAACCTACCAAACATCATAGCTGAGCCTAGACTACTTTAACCATGCCCAGAACCCTATGTTAGCCTGCAGTTAGGCAAAACTATCTAACACAAGGTCTATTTTATAATAGGGTGCTGACTATCTCATGGAATTTATTGGCTACTGTACTGGAGGTGAATGAATGGTTGTATGTGTACCTGAAGTGTGGCTTCTCCTGAATTCACATCGCTTTTGGACCAATGTGAAGTCTATAAATTTTAAGTCAAGCCTCCATAAATCCAGGACCGTGTGTATTCCGAACTTCATAAGTAAATAAGACTCTGAAAATTTATGTCTTCTCATTTCTTGGGAGGATTATTTTTACTTTCTTTATGCATTTATTTGCTATTGTTACTATTTTATCATATTTTAAATTAACTATTGCTGGTTTATGAGAAAAACTCTTGATTTATTTTTTATTCATCTTATACCCAACCATCTTTTTGGATTCTCATTTTTTTCCTAATATTAATACTTCTAAGATAATTGATTCTTTTATTTTTTTATTTCTATTTTTGAGACAGAGTCTCTCTTTGTTGCCTGGGCTAGAGTGCAGTGGCACAATCTTGGCTCACTGGAACCTCTGCCTCCCGGGTTCAAGTGATTTTCTTGCCTCAGCCTCCCAAGTAGCTGGGATTACAGGTGTGCACCACCACGCCTGGCTAATTTTTGTATTTTTAGCAGAGACAGGGTTTCACCCTGTTGGCCTGGCTGGTCTTGAACTGACCTTAAGTGATCCTCCTGCCTCGGCCTCCCAAAGTGCAGGGATTACAGGCATAAGCCACCTTGCCCAGCCAGTGATTCTTTTATATTTTATAGATAAATAGTTATATTTATGAAGGATGGAAATTTGATCTGTCCTTTTATGACATTTATATTTTTTCCATCTCATTTCTTAGCTCCACCCCAGGAGCTCAGTTAAGGAGGGAGGAGAAAGGACTGAGCCGGGCACCCCTTCCCTCCTCCCATCTTGGGCCTGGGATGTGAATGCACACTGACCTTCTCTGGTTCGCTCTCTTTCATCTGCCATGAAACCTACGGTGAACCATTGTGAGGCAGGAGGGTTGTGGAGGGCTCCAGGGACAAAGCCTTTGTGAACACAGTAAGCTTTTGTTTTTGTTTTTCATGAGAGACACAGGAAACTGTAAAGGAATATTGAATTTAGGCCTGAACTTGTCATATTTTTCTCATAGAAAGATCATTCTGGTGAATATACCAAAGATGTGCCTGAGATCTGTAGGAGTAGATGCTGGGGGACTTCCCTGAACAGCTGTCATTATGTAATAGTCCAGGTAAGATTTTTTTTTTTTTTTAGTTAGAAGCCTATGGAACCAAACAATGAGTCATGGACAATAGCTATTAGTTATTCCTCAATTATCTACACCGGTGATGGCTCAATAATCTTAGGGTTGCTGGGTTTAGAAAATAAAAATATAGGCTGGGTGCAGTGGCTCACGCCTGTAACCCCAGCACTTTGGGAGGCCGAGGCAGGTGGATCACGAGGTCAGGAGTTTGAGACCAGCCTGACCAACATAGTGAAACCCTATCTCTACTAAAAATATAAAAAAAATTAGCGGGGCATGGTGGCAGGTGCCTATAATCCCAGCTACTTGGGAGGCTGAGGCAAGGAGAATCACTTGAACCTGGGAGGCAGAGGTTGCAATGAGCCGAGATGGTGCCACTGCACTCCAGCCCCAGTGACAGTGCAAGACTCTGTCTCAAAAAAAAAAAAAAAAAGAAAATAAAAAGAAAATAAAAATATAGGATGCCCAGTTAATTTGAATATCAGATACACAGGTAGTTTATTCAGTGAGTCGTATGCAGTATTTGGGACACGCTTATTCCAAAAATTTATTCAATGTTTATCTGAAGTTCACATTCCACAGGGTGCTCTGCATTTTACCTGGCAACTCTACCTGTAGGGGCCTGGACAAGCAGAGTCTTTGGGTGAGGCAGGAGACACTTCCTGTGGTTAGTGGCATGTGACAATATTTAGCTTGTACCCCATCAGGCTTGTACCCCAATGCCTTTGGGCTCACGAATGAATGTGATGTCTTTCCTGAGCTCTGTGGATGGTGTATGGTGTATGGTGAGCAGGGCCACTGAAGCATGTTGTGTATGAGCACGAATGAGGCTGGTATTTCAAACACACTCTGGCCCTCCCCTCAGCAGGACATCCAGGAGCCTGGGGTAGGAATCTTCTAGGTTTGCTTCATTTCCACCTACTGCAGCTGCCCTGCATCCACCCAGCCTAGCATGAGTCTTCTCCTGGGGGCTTCCAGCGGTGTTTCCATGAATAAATAGGGAGGATGGCAAGGTAAGACAAAGGGACCGGAGCAAAGGAAAGGACCAAATGTGGCTGGCATGCCTCCGACAAGCCTTCTGGAGTGTGAGTATCTGTCAAAGCAGGAATGGTGCCTTGGGCAGAGGAGCTTCTCATGGTGTCTGTCTCTTTCTCTGGGGAAGTGGGCTTCAGACACCTTTAGAACCACATGCACAAAGCCCTGCCAGGGCTTAGGATCTCCAGACAAAGCTGTGCTCAGGCAGAGGCATAGGACAGGCAGGCAGCAGGAACAGGAAGGGCTAGCAGCTCTTCCCTGGCTAGCAGCTGGGGTTCTGCCTCCAGCTGCCTCCCCAGGACAGAAGCCAGATAAGCTGCTCTGAAGTCACCTTGCAGGAGTTAGGGAACGCACCTGCCACATATGCTGTTTTGGGAGAGAACTTTCAGCTGACTGCAAGCTTCCCAGGCTGCTCCCAGTGGAAAGTCTGACTCCTGGGCTGGGAGGTTCCTTCTCTGCCAACACCCCCTTCTGAGCCTACAGGCTGGCAGTGAACAATGCAGTTGGCATCTCCCTGCAGCTCCAGCTGAGCCTTCGGGGTCATATCTCAAGGGGCTATTAAGGGAAATCATCACCTCAGGATTGATCATCTCTTTTTTTCGCTATAGTCACAATTTAAGGAATTGCGTGAAACAGTCAAGTGGGGGCAGACATTAGATTTCAAGAAGGCTCGACTATTCCAAAATATGGCCTGAGCCTGTGCCACCCAACTTCCTCGACCATGTAGACTTCATTCCTTCCTTCATTCATTTGTTCCAACTTTCGCCAGTATTTCCCAAGTAGCTACCTTGTGCCAGCCTAGAGGCGGGAAGCACACAGTGAGGAGGGGACAGCAGACTCTGACATGGACAAGGACACCGGGCAGCAGTGCAGGGGGCAAGGGTAGGCTCTGGAGAAGACAGAGGGACTCCAGCATGGGCAGGCCACTGGGCATGTCCCTAAGCCTCTTGGAGCCTCAGATTCCAGTCTGTAAACAGGAGATGCCAACAGTATCTACCTCATTGAGCTGAAAAGGCAATAAATTAGGGTGGTCCACATGAGGCCCTGGCAGAGGGACTGGTGTGGGGAACACTTGACCCATGCTGAAATGTCCCACACCTACAAGGCAACAGGGCCCCACTCCACATGCACCAGTCCAGTGCCTGCCTTCTGCTGGTGGGGAGCACGTGTTCCTTGACCTGTGAGCCCTGTGGGGAGTCCACATCATGCACCTGTCAGATTCCCAACTGTAGGTAGGGTCTTCTGAAACCACGTGGTGTGTTACTGATGCTTTCAAGTCTACTAATTCCAGAGGACCTGTTAGGTGGGTGCTGGAGTATTATTTGTTAGGAAACAGCGACTGTGAGCAAATAAAGGCTCCAGCTTCAAATAAACACTCATCTCAAAGAACTGTGACTGAAAACACTTGGTTATATAGGGGACAGCGTTAATATAAAAATCGTAAGTATTAATATAAATATAAAAAGTTGAATTTGTGCTACTTATACGGCCTGAGCTAGAGGAACTCAGCCCCTGCAAACCTCACCCAGGCCTCCTCTGCCAGAGCTGGGACTCTAACTCCAGCCATGTGGCCACACAACCAGCAGCAGGCTCTAGAACACATCGGTAAAACCCTATCAATTATTACAAGTTGGAATTCTTCCATCCTTCTTGGTAAATAGCCACTCCCCTGAGACCCCCACAGTGCCCCCACCCCTGACCTTCTTCTGATCTGGCAAAAAATTGGTCAATGCTTGTGACAGGGAGACCCTCTAGGACCTTTTCCGAGATTCTAACTAGTCAGCAAACAGGTCACACCACTGAAATTTTGAATATCATGTACAATATGCTTTCTTGTTGTTTCTTTTTTCTCTTTCCCTGCATTCCTTTGGATTGTTTGAATTTTCTTTAATAGGAGGGTGGTACTAGAATTACAGATGTATCAATAAATACCAGCCTACTAGTACCTTTTTTCCTGGGTTCTGTCTCCCACTGGGGTACCACATTCTGACAAGCCATTCCAGCTAGAGATCTGACAGCAACTGTATTTCTCTCTACCAGAATCATCTTTCAAATGCTGTCAGTAGAGATGGATTCACCAGGAAACTGCAGGGCCTCTTGCTTGCATGGGCTCCTTACAAGGCCGTGGTGGGAGAGGCTTTAACAATGTTTGACATGGTAATATGTTTTTACAGACTTTGCAAAAGTAAGCGATTTTAAGTGCAAATGCAGTCATGCATTGCTTAATGACAGGGATGTGTTCTGAGAAATGCATCCTTATGTGACTTTGTTGTTGTGCAAACGTCATCAGGTGTACTTACACAGAACTAGATGGTAGAGCCTACTATATGCCTAGGCTGCCTGGTATAGCCTATCGCTTCTAGGCTACAAGCCATTGCAGCGTGTTACAGTACAGAATATGCTAGGCAATTGTAACACCATGGCAAGTACTTGTCTATCTAAACATGCCTAACCACAGAAAAGGTACGGGAAAAATATGGTATGATAATCTGAAGGGACCATCATGGTCCAGCTCATCTGGCTTCTGTCCTGGGGAGGCAGGTGGAGGCAGAACCCCCGCTGCTAGCCAGGGAAGAGCTGCTAGTCCTTCCTGCCCCTGCCGCCTGCCTGTCATGTGCCCCTGCCTGACCATCAGGGTCCCACATGGTCTGTCATTGACTGAAATGTCCTCGTGCAGCACTTGACTGTAGTTAAGATGGCTGGCTCTTTCCACTCTGATTTCCCCTCCATCTCATTGCTCCTTGTGCCCCTCATGTTGGAGTGGTCATAGGCATTTTTAGGATCTGGCTTGGCATGAGACAGCTTTATGTAGTTTACAGTCACTTCTGTGTGTGGTTGCATTACTGCTAGTCTTCCAGCGTAGGAATGGCTTCCAGGAATATTGTTCTGATTCAGCCAGCAGGGTCGGAGATGATATCTAAATAATAAACATTTCCCCAACACCTGCTTTCAGAAATATGTCAGCAGTGGAGGAGAAACAAGTATGGAGCCAGAAACTAGTCTATGGAAAACTCTCTCCCCCATCATATGTATAGAGTTTTAAGCATGTGAGCCTGTTCACATCCATGCCTATTTAAAATGGAAGTTCTCTCCTGTAGAGAACATACTCAATAGTGCAATATAGACACTTATAACACACACATATAAATATGTCTTTTTTGAGCAATTTCAGTAAATGTATTTTGTTAGAGCTCCTGTGTAGTAAGGCAGAACTAGAGGAGTATTGCAAATAGAAGTATGCTTTTGTGTGAAATGAGATGTCTTATGCATCTCACTGTATCTGATTGCATCTTAGCTTGTCTGATGTATTTTATCCCAATGAAGTCCACAAGTTCTAGATGTGCACACTAAGAAAGATTAAATTTTATAACTTGATATGAAATACTAACATCTACAAAGACAACATAAAACTCAATCCACTATTACAACAAGACCATCCATGATAAACTGGATAATGCTTCTATCAATTTGAAAAGTACTAAGATTAGACACTGCGCAGAAAACTTAAAATGCCCAGTAATCTTACAGCTCATATATGAAACTTGATAGAAATATTTTCAACTTTGACTATAGTCATAAAAATTTACATGCTAGTACCAATGGGATTAACTATCTGCAGTCAAAATAGCTTACTTCTGCAAATTTTTAAAAAGCATATGGCCGACTTAAGGAGAAAATGCAATTAAAAAGAAAAGAAAGAAGCATATGGTCACAGTGGAAGAAGGTTGAAGTACCTTTCTATGATATTTAAAGAAAACAGTATTAGAAAATCCTCCTTATCCATAGATTTTGCTTCCTGAATATTTGTTGAATCTGACTCCTTGTCTCCATCCCTTACATACTGCTGTGGTAATTTTCAGGCCCTTGTAGTTTCCAGCCTGGGCTTCTGCAGGAGCTTTCTAACTGGTTTTCTTGGTTCTAGTCTCACACCCCTCAAATCTAACTTCCACAGTGGATAAGATGCATATCTGACTTTGTCACTTTCTTTCTTTCCTTTTTTTTTTTTTTTTAAGAGATGGAGTCTCAGTATGTTGCCCAGGCTGGTCTTGAACTCCTGGACTCAAGCGATTCTCCCACCTCAGCCTCCCAAAGTGCTGAGATTATAGGCATGAGCCGCTGCACCCAGCCTATGTCACTTTCTTAAACCATCAGAGGCTCTCCAGAATAAAGTGAAGCCCCTTAACCTGATACATAAGACTATCATGCCCTGCTTCTTTCTTACAAGTCTTGCCTCTCTTGAAACATCGCATTGCTTGTGTCCCCTCACCCTACCCTGTGGTCTCCCATCTGTACACCTTCGCTCAAGCTGTCTCCCCAGCCTACAACAGCATTTTCTCCTCTTTTCACTTTGGCTGCTCCTACTCATTCCCCAAGATTCTGCTTACTTCTTATCTTTTCTATACATTTTCTGACTTCCCTTTTCACGATAGTGGACTGAGCGCATGCTGCCATCTCTCCACCCAGGCCCATCCTCCAGAAATGACAGAGAAGGAAAAAATCAGTGTTCTCAGAAAGTTAACAGGAAATGTTCAGAGAATCAGAAGCACTGACACGTTTCTGAGAAGCCAAAGGCAGACAGGATCTGATTTGATACTGCAGCCCAGCTCATGAGCAGCAGCCAAGGACATACTACATGTATCCTTGTGTGTATATACTACAGTATATATTACAATAGTGGGAGCAGCAACAAGGCATTCCATGCCCAGAGGTGGTGAATGCCTGGAACAAGACAGGACCAAAGGACTACTGACAGAGGGTTAAACAAGTATCCCCGTGGAAGGAGCTAGATGAATTGACCCTGAATATCTCCCTCAACCCCACCCCGGCAGACAAGATGACCAGGACAGCAGTGTCTGTCTCCTGGTATGAACTGTGTTAGGAATGAAAGACAGGACAGGGCCCCATATGGCTGGTAAAGCCAAGGAAGAGTTAAGTAGCAGCCACATCCCAAAGACCAGCTGTGAGAGCACAGCTGGTCCACCTGATAGTGCCTCTGCCTGTTCTGCACTCTCCTTGAAAGCAACATGGAGCACAAGCTCATCCAGCGATTTCCAGCCCTCCCTCACAGCAAGCTAGGCCAGCAGATTTCTTGCAGAAAATCTCATGCGTAAAGATGAGTCCACTGTCAAAAAATATCATTTGAGAAGTACCACCATGAAAGGGAGACTTCCACCTGAGGAAACATAATAACCATAGCTAATATTTACTGAGCATTTATGTGTCAGGCGCTATTGCAAACATAAAGTGGGACTATTTTATGTTTGCAATAGACACATGAATACCTTACAAGAGTCCTACCTTATAAGAGTTTAAGGTAGGACTATTTTTATTGCCATTTTACAAATGAAGAAACTGAAGTGTCACGTGATTAAGTAACTTCTTCCAAAGTCACATAGCTTAACATAAGAAGCCACAGATTAACCTCAGCTGTCTGGCTCCAGATCTGAAGATTAAACAGAACAAATAGACAACCAGTAATGTGCTTTGAAGTAAGTATAATGAATATTCTCAAATAAGAAAGGATGGAAAAGAATCAATTAGGGATGTTAGAGGTGAACAATGTGTTCATTTTGTATTACTGATCATGGGAATAAAAATCAAAAAATATATTCATAGTTTAAACAGATAAAACCACCTGAGTGGATGAGCTATGGAGTGGAATGTATGCAGCTGAAGAGATAATTGGTGAACTGAAAGATTGGAATCCTCCCTGAAAACAGCAGACTTGGATAAATAAATAGAAAGTAGAAAAGAAAAGAAAAGATAATAGACATGGAAGATAGTTCCAGAAGTGCCAACATCCACCCACTGGGTGTTACCAAGAGAGAGACTGCTAGAGAAATGGATGTCCAATGAAACATGGTTGATTTGCAACACAAATTTATTTCCTCTCCCTCCCCAAATCCTAATAAAATGGCAGTAGAGGAAGAGCACAGGTAAAATTCTTCAAGGACAATAGAGACAGGAGAGGAGAAAACAGCAACCAAGAATTTGGACACGTATTTTGGAGATAGTATACAAAGGAATGGTAATTTGGCAGAATGGTGCATGTTCTCACTTGGATGCCCCAGAGGGAGAAAATAAGAAGAAGCCAACGGATTCTCCCTACTTCACCCCCAGAGTCTAAGAAAGGATCCACACTTAAAGAGGTGAGGTACAGTGTGAGGCTGTAAACAGGAAAACAGAGGCATAAGTGGAAACCCTAGGCCACTTTCTCTACCCTCTTCAGCCAGGGGTCCCCTCCACCCAGGGGAGAAAGGAGAGTTATTTGTCATATAAATTGAACCGAAGAAACTGCAGAATGGGAGGTCTGAGCCACACAGGTTTGGGAGGAGGAGGTAAGGTCAAGCTTAAACACAAGGATTAAACCACAATCTACATATTGAATGATGGGACCCCAGTCCCCAGAGAGTGAGCAACCTAATTTACAATCTACAGGCCAGAGTCCGGAGGATTCATTTGTGGAGAAAAGGAATGTCCCACACAAAGGGCCTCCAGTGGCTGATGTGTGCTGGTTTCCTCAATGAGGAGCTGACCTGATGCTCAGACACTCTGTGGTGAGCTCCATCAGTCAACAAGCCCCGCTCCCCCACAGACATTGCAGTCAGTGTTTTGTGCCTCACCCCCAAATGTGAATACACAGCTAAGGGATATCACCTGGGAGGAAGGCCTCCAGCAAGGGTGACCAACCTTCCTGGTTTGCCAGGGACCCAGGGGTTTCACAGGATTTGGGACAGTCAGTACTACTATGGTTTGAGTTTGTCCCCAACAAAACTCATGTTGAACTTTGATCCCCAATGTGGCAGTGTTGGGAGGTGTGCCTGGTGGGAGGTGTTTGGGTCACAGAGACAGATCCCTCATGAATGACTTGGTGCACTCCAGCTCTCTCATGAGACTGGATTTAGTTCTTGTGGGAATGTTCCTGCAGGAATGGGTTGTTGTAAAGCCAGGATGCCCCTTGGGTTTTTTCTCTTCCCACGTGTCCACTCACCATTGAGATTTTCCACCATGTTATGACATAGCACAAAAAGCCCCCACCAGAATCTGAGCAGATGCTAACACCATACTTTTTGAACTTCCCAGCCTGCAGAACTGTGAGCCAAATAAACCTCTTTTCTTTATAAATTCCCCAGCCTCAGGTATTCTTCTATAGCAACACTTATTGGATTAAGACAAGTACTAAAATAAGAAAAATCTCTGCCAAACCAGAATGAGTTAGTCGTCCTATTCTAGCATGTGCAAGCAACGTCCATTTGCATGGCTTTGCTTAATAATTTGCAAGCCTGACCTATATTCACAGCTCACAGGCTGAGAACATAGTCATCTGTTGTAATTTATATAATCTTGTGACAACACCTGCCAAAAATCATATTAAATGGCTTGTGACTTTTCTTGATCCTCTTCCAGCCTTTGACACAATATATAAGGAAAAATATGAACTATCCTGCTTGTAATTTCCAGTGGGTAAAACAAAGATGTGCCCTGGATCCTTTTATTTTTAACTTGAAACCATATTGAGATAGCCCATGAGTTTGCTTTCCTACTGACCCACATAACTGTTAGGCACAGTGCAGGCCACTGACCAGCATCAGCTCCAAAGGATCAGTATCTGTGCCCTGCAGGTTGTTGCATATGGTAGGGCCCCGCCACCCTGCTCTGCAGTGGAGCACAGAAGGTCAAGCATTCTCTCAGATGCAAATAACCTGATGTGGGTATCATGGACTAGGAGTAGTTTTAGTAGACAATGAATACTGCTATCTAATGACATCCAGAAACAAGGGCTACCAAATCTGGATCTGAAATAATCATTTTAATGGAAATCCCCCAAATTTAGGGAGATTTATAGGAAATAATGATAAACAATAAATCATTTAGTTACTTTGGGTGTACATTTCACAACCAGTTTTAACAGGGCTTATTGCTCAAAATTAGATGGGCCGCAGGTATGTGTGTGTGTGCACATGCTTATGTGTATGTGTAGCCAAACAAGATATATAGTTACATGCCTGCTTTACATTTTTTCTGGGCTATTTTTATTGCCGTTGCATTTTATGATGTGGAATTGTAGGGAATCAGTTACCCATTCATTGCCCTGTTAGGGAACTCTCAAATTTCCTCCTGAAGAGAATCTTGGCTCTGCCTGCAGGGACTCCCTTGATGCACTTTGGAGGGGATGTGGGTTGGCCTTCTCTTCAGAAACACGTTGACTTTCTTCTTTCTTTCTCTTTCTTTCTTTCTTTCTTTCTTCTTTCTTTCTTTCTTCTTTCTTTCTTTCTTTTCTTTCTTTCCTTCTTTCTCTCTCTCTTTTTCTTTTTTCTTTTCTTTCCATGTGTGAGGCAAAGATTTAGTTCTTCATTTCTTGCATTTGAAGTACTGTTCGATGACATCCTTGGCCTGAGACTCCTTCCATAGTCCTTAACTACTGCACAACTGCAACCAACCACTTTACAGGGTTTCCCCTCTCTGTCAATTGTACAGGGGCCTTCCCATTCCCCTAGTTTCTTGTTGTCATCACCCTTGATTAGGTTGATTTGGTGTTCAGCACAATGGGCCTTCACCAACTTGACATACATAGGCTTATCACAGTTGGATGCAAGCACACAAAGGTGGGCTTGGCGCTTGGCGGCAGCAGGGAAAGAGAGAAATGTTCTTTCTGGTGCATGAGTTTTCATAAGAGGATCTATGTCAAGCCACGGCTCAGTTTGTTATTAAGGTATATGGCTCGTCTCTTAATTGGCAATGGAAAGTTCCAGCATTCCAAGTAGAATCTCAACCTCAGAGCCACACTATACTTTTCAAAAGCTTGGCTAAGAGAAATGCTACTCATGGATAAGTGCCTGCAGAGTGCATGCTGTATTCAATCCTCTGGACAAATATTCTTAAATCTATTACCAATTTAGCCAGAGCCATGAACCTGTGAGCTTGACTGCTTCCCACTGACTCCTTGAAGAATGACTTTTAATGCTTTGTGCTTTGGTTGAGGGACATGATACACATTATACAAAGCATGGTTTTGAACACTGATCCCCATCTGTTGCAGGGATATTGTTGAGGATGTGGCTTCCCTATGAAGCCTCTCTATGAACACCTAGAGGAGAATATGCTCTTTGGTCCTCAGTATCTGGAATAGTTGTGCTTTTTCTTAGAAACCTGCAAATATTCTGGATCTCACAATGTGTCATATATCCCTCTCCCCATCAGCAGCTAGGGTCTTAGAGCCAAACCAGTGAACAACCATGAGTCCACACAAAGAGGGCTAATCACTCGGGTTGGCACAGTCAGTGAGGTGGCATCAGAGCCTGGGGTATAGGCAAGATGCCGTAGTGGCTCGATCTGCCATGGGCAGATCCAGATGTTGAGTGTCAGGGAACCCTCTCCCTAGAGGAGGGTTGGCGATGAACATGGATCCTCCAAACCACCCTAATGCAGGTGCCTGTAGGCCATCACTGCCCCTGAGGGTTAGGGCTGGGGTTAGGGTTAGGTACGTTAGCGTGATGACATGGCACACCTGGTCCTATACCTACACCCTTCTCCTCACCAGCTCTGTATCCTTTATTAACACACATGGATGGCATTGTTGGGAGCAGCAGGAACTGCATGTGAATCAAATGCCATGTGCTTTCCATTGTTTCACCCATCACAGTCCCCAGGGGTAGGTATATTCACACCCCAAAATTCACTTCTATTATGTGAGCCAGGGAAGCAGTATAATAGACATTAGCAGTGTGGGCTCTGGAGTCAGGGAACCAGTTTCAAATCCTGCCTCCACCTCTCACTAACTGAGAGGCCTTGGGTGAGACATTTAGTCTCTTTATCTATAAAACAGGAACAAAACACTGCTTACAAACACAGCTGTGACAGGAAACACATTACATAACCACTGTGAACCATTTAGCACAGAGCTTGACCCAGAAATAAATGCTACAAAGGCATGTATTGTGGTGGTGAAGACTTCGGTTTTTTGGAATTGGATACACCTGGGTTCAAATTCCAGCTCTTCCAGGGTCAACTGTGAAAACTTCGGCAAGTTTCCAACTTCATTAATCCTCATCTTTTACAACTGCAAAATGGGGAAAATAGTGCATACAAAACTCATGGCCCACTGCTTGAGATGAACTGTGTGCTCCATAAGTGATAGCTTTAGCCACTTGTTATTTTACTGCTATACCAGAGAGAATGCAGCTCAAGCTAAACAGGCAAGAGGGAATGTCTAAGGTGATTCTGCAGAGCTGCCAACCCTATGCGGCAACTGACCTCCATCTCCAACACATGGTAGTAACAGCTGCTTAAAAGGATTGTGTTCTATGTTCTAGGCAATGAGCTGAGAGTTTTTATATTTTTGTTTTACCTGGGACTAGGTATGGTGGATCTCAATATTTTGGGGGCCACAAGTACTGTATCAGACTGGTTTCAATCAAGAGATAGAAACCACAAGTGGTTTATGCAATGGAAGTTTAATATAAAGAATTATTCAGCTATGATAAAAGAGCAACTATATGATATAAAGAGAACCTTATAGGGCTACTCTCCCTACAGGTGGAGAAGAGTACCCAAGAAGGACAAGCTTGGAATGGGGCCCCCTCCCCAGGCTGGAGATCAGACATTGTCGGAGAAGGTATCATTGCAGCCCCCTACATGGCAGAGAGATTTGCTGGGTTGCATGGTCTAGAGCTGGTTGCAATTATTGGACAAGCAGGAAACAAACCTCCACAGCCCATGCGAGCCACACTGCTGGGTTGAGTGTATGAGCATGTAGAATGATTGGGTCTCCAGTGCGGACAGAAGGCATGGATCGCGTGGTGCCTGTGTTGGGAGGATACTAAGAGGGCGATCACCATGCCAGGACAAGACTAGTTGCCTGGGACCTTCTGGGCACGTGACTGGAGCAGAGTACCACTGGATCTCCTCACACCAGCCAGACCCAGGAAGAGAAACTCCTTTCACCTGCACTGTTCTCTCAGCACCCTCCGCTGAGAAAGCTTCACGTTATGCTTAGTGTACAGGAGAAATGCTCATGGGAATCCTGTCCATTATCACAGAGCAGGTATTAGTGGGTGAATATGGAGCTGAGAAGTAATAAGTTGTAACTGGTATAGATATCATGGGGGCAATTGTAGAACGCCGTGAACACATATGCATGGGTCCATGTATTCATGAGTGTGCACATATGTGTAATTATTCATACAATTCATGGTGGATACTACTTCGAGGGTGTTCACAGACCCCAGGTAGAGAGCGCCTGGAGGGAAAATTATCCAAGGCAGGCCCATTCACAGTTCCAGGGCAGCCAAAAGAAAGCCTCCGTTAAGCACCAGAAGTCTCCGGGGCAGGTGGGGCCAGGCAGCATGAAAGAATTGGCCGCAAGAGTTCCAAACCCTGTCCCAATTATGGAGGGTGACTTTTCTTTGTCCTCCTTCTCCATTCCCTTCCATATTGCTCATGCATCCAAAGGGAGACCTGAAGACTCTCTAGCAGGGCAAGGCCATTTTCTTTTGGCATTTTTCTCTCCCCAAAGTCTAGCTGATTATCAGCTTAGTCACACAGCAGGCTATGTGCTGTGAACAACAGGCATCCTGGGTTATTTTACAAACTCATGGATAGTCATTTTGAAACCACCTTTGCAAAATTATGACTGAAACAGTGAAAGAGAGCTAACTTAACCAGCTCCATCTTGTTTCTAACCTCCAAGCTGTCTTTGTTCATTCCTGGGCGTAGGCTGAACTAACTTTGGGAGAAACTTAGTTTGTAGTTATAGTTTAAACAAAGATGGTAACAGCCCTTTCCCAATGCAGACCTCCTTCTTGTCTGGGGACTAGACTAACATTAGCCACAGGATTAGAAATTACGGTTTAGGAGTCACGCAGCTGGAGGCTACAAGATTCTGACCCTCCCTAAACTGCTTCTAAGATCAGTGCTTGAGACATGTTGCAGACCCCGCACTTGCTGGATCAGCTGACGCCACACAGATGGATAAACTGCCTCGTCTGATCTTGTGGCCCCCACCCGGGAACTGACGAAGCGCAAGAAGACAGCTTCGACTCCCTGTGATTTCATCCCTGACCAACCAGCACTCCTGGCTCACTGGCTTCCCCCTACCAAGTTATGCTTAAAAATTCTGCTCCCCGAATTCTCGAGGAGACTGATTTGAGTGATAATAAAACTCCAGTCTCCCGCACAGCCGGCTCTGCGTGAATTACTCTTCTTCTATTGCAATTCCCCTGTCTTGATCAATCGGCTCTGTCGAGGCAGCAGGCAAGGTGAACCCCTTGGGTGGTTACAATTTTGCTCCTTCAACAAAACTCCAAGTTCCTCTTTGATAGTGGCAAACACCAGTTGCCGTATTTTCTACTGTTACTGGCACAAAAAGTCCCTGTTCACAGCCCTGCTGGACGTAAGGGCCCAGGTGCTAAAAAGTTACCCCCCACCTCACCCCAGCCTCATCAGCGGGACTGGATACTGGCAGTGGGCAGAGGAATGAAATTTATTTATTTATTTTTCTTATTTATTTTTGAGATGGAGTTTCGCTCTTGTCACCCAGGCTGAAGTACAGTGGCACCATCTCAGCTCACTGCAACCTCCGCCTCCTGGGTTCAAGCAATTCTCCTACCTCAGCCTCCTGAGTAGCTCGGATTGCAGGCTCTCCTGCCGCCACACCCAGCTAATTTTTGTATTTTTAGTAGAGATGAGGTTTCACCATGTAGGTCAGGCTGGTCTTGAACTCCTGACCTCAGGTGACCAACCTGCCTCGGCCTCCCAAAGTGCTGGGATTACAGGCAGGAGCCACCAAGCCCGGTCTTTTTTTTTTTTTTTTTTTTTTTTAACATGTCATGCTTTTATTGTACTGTACTGTACTGTACTGTACTGTACTGTACTGTACTGTACTGTATTGTATTGTATTGTATTGTATTGTATTGTATTGTATTGTATTGTATTTTGAAACAGAGTCTCACTGTGTTGCCCAGGCTGGAGTGCAGTGGAGTGATCTTGGCTCACTGAAACCTCCGCCTCCCAGAGTCAAGCAATTCTCTTGCCTCAGGCTCCCGAGTAGCTAGAACTACAGGCCATGCCCAGCTAATTTTTGTATTTTTAGTAGAGATGGGGTTTCACCATGTTGGCCGGGCTAGTCTCAAACTCCTGACCTCAGGTGACCCACCTGCCTCGGCCTCCCAAAGTGCTGGGATTACAGGCTTGAGTCACTGCACCTGGCGAAATTTATTTCGTTAGATTCTCAAAAAATGTAGGACGCATGAGTGGGACTTTCTGCCTCCATCCCACATCTACCAGAGTAAGGAGAAAGTCCAGGAGCTAAGAGTATTCTGGGTAAGACTCCCCCTCCCTCGGCCGCATTGTCATTGTCAGAGTGAAGAAGGCCCCTGGAACTCCATGTGTTCCTGGCAATCCCTCCTTCCTCCCCAACCACAGACACCCCCCAACATCGTTATTTTCCCTGAGAGCATCAGGACCCATCTTCTTAGGGCCTTTATCTCGATATGCATCAGTCACTCCAAGAAGCTCAGGCCCCTAAGTCATCCCTTCCCTTATCTCCTAGGCCTGAGTCCACATATAGCTCTATGTGGCTCTCTCCACTACTCTCTAGCCTTCATTTTTCCCCTTAGCACATACATCACCTGACATATAATGCATTTGACTGGCTTGTTAGTCTCCCCTGATTGAGGGTGGGGTGTTCTGTCTCTCTTGTTTGACCACTATACCCCCAGGATCTACAAGGTGTCTGGCATGTAGCAGGGACTTAATAAACGTGGGTTCAGGAATGAATGAACAAAAAAAAGCATCTTTAGTGTCCTCTGTTCTCTGGACCTCAGGCTCCACTGCAGCCTAGTTAGTCTTGATCTTCAGGCCTAAACAAGGCCCAAACCACAGGCCTGCTTCCATACTGGCTTATCCCACCTATCTAGCAGTTTCCCAGGCTGGGCTTTGGAGACAGGTGGGCTTGGATTTGAATCCTGGCTCTGCCATTATGAGGCTTTTAACACCTCTGTGCCCCATTTTCCTTATGTGTAAAACCAGAAGGATGCCTAACTCCCGAGAATATGGTAAGTGAATTAAATGGAAGGTGTGTGTAAAGAGCTCAGCACAACTCCTCCAACACAGTAAGTGCACAATAAATTGTGGCCACGAGGGAGGCAATAGGGCAGGATGAGGAGGAGCAACAGGCTTTCTCTGGTGACATCTCCCACGAGTTGGTAGAGGAAGCCTGGCGCACTGTGCACAATGGATTCTGGTCAGGCCCTGAGCTCAAGGGGAAAGAATCCCATGATTGATTACTGATGTCTGTCATGGACATGGGGGCCGAGTGACAGGGTAGGGTGAAAGAGAGTAGCAGCCCCAAGCCATACGTTTGCCATCCTGATCTAGAATTTCCACCATTGCTCCTTTTCTTGTGCATGTCTTGACTGTTTTTAAGGGTGAGAGCTCCCCTGTTTTCAACAGCTCTTTTCTGACTTGGTAATTTCTCACCCACCCCAGCCCTGAATGGTGCAGTCTGCTCCTCTGAGCCCCAACACTCTTTTCTCTGCTGTTCCTTTATTATTTACCATGTAGCATTTTGGTTTTTAAAAATCTTTCTGGCCTCCTTTCCACACATATAGGCAGAACATGCCTTCAGGGTAGATCTCACCTTAGAGAACTAACGCAGGAAAGTGCACAGAGTTGCAAATCAGAAAATCTGAACTTGTTGTGAATTTGAGCTCATCACTTTGCCTTTTGGAGTCTGTTTCCCCAGCTGAAAAGCAGAGCCCTAAGATGGCTTTGCAGCCCATGGTATCCCAGGGCTGTGGTGAGAATCAGCATTTCACTGGGCTCTGTGGAGAGGAAAAGCTTTCATGTCTGGCCAGTCACGGTGGCTCACGCCTGTAATCCCAGCACTTTGGGAGTCCAAGGTGGGCGGATCACCTGAGCGTCAGGAGTTCAAGACCAGCCTGGCCAACATGGTAAAACCTCATCTCTACTAAAAATACAAAAATTAGCCAGGCACAGTGGCAGGCGCCTGTAATCTCAGCTAAGCAGGAGGCTGAGGCAGAAGAATCGCTTGAACTCACGAGGCAGAGGTTGCAGTGAGCTGAGATTGCTCCAGTCTACTCCAGCCTGGGTGACAGAGTGAGACTCCATCTCAAAAAAAAAAAAAAAAAAAAAAAGCGTTCATATTCTCATTGCATGTCCATGTACCCCCTCCTGCCACCAGGTCTCAAACTGGAGCTTCTGCAGATGCTCAAGATGCTTTTTCAGCAAGGGGGTAGTAGGATGAGGCTTCCAATGGGAGCAGTGGGCATTTGGCAGGCATTGACAACAAGCAGAGTTAGGAGAATGGAAAAGAAAAACCAACTTTTCTCGCCTTAAACCGGCAATTGCAAAGTTGAAAGCTAGGAAAGCTAAATGCTGCCATCTGCCGGTCATTTTCTAGGTTAGCAGCATCAAAGTAAACAGTTTTATAAAGCTCTGATTTTTTATTTTTATTATTATTATTATTATACTTTAAGTTTTAGGGTACATGTGCACATTGTGCAGGTTAGTTACATATGTATACATGTGCCATGCTGGTGTGCTGCACCCATTAACTCGTCATTTAGCATTAGGTATATCTCCTAATGCTATCTCTTCCCTCTCCCCCGACCCCACAACAGTCCCCAGAGTGTGATGTTCCCCTTCCTGTGTCC